>NC_000020.11:27295635-27504366 GCF_000001405.40 Homo sapiens
TTTCCCCTTCTCCTCCTGACTTGTAGACACTGATTGTCTTCCTTGGACTTAGGGAACCCCTTAGGTTCTTGAAAAATTCAATGATCAGGCTATAGTAGATGGTCCCCAGTACACAGCACAAGATTTTTTGATAAACTGGACATTTTGAAACCCAAATAACTAATTAGAAAAATCAAACATGTGAAACTACTTTATCCCATGCATAGGGGTTATACTGGAAATAAAATGTACAACATTGGAATCCTGAAGGAGAAAAGTCCTAAAAGTTTCAATATCAAGAATCCTGCACCTGCTGCTACTTATCTAGCCTTTTGCTTGATTTCTGGCTGATGAACTTGCACAACTCTTGAAAACTTAAAAACTTGAAAATTTGTCACTTGAAAACTACTTGAACCAAACTATGAAATCTCACCTGATATATAAGATGCAATTGTTACAATTATTTTAAACTTCAATTTACTGTTTTGCTCTATCAAAAGAAAGTTTCAACTCTGTTAGTTGAGTACACACATCCTAAACAAGTTTCTGAGAATGCTTCAGCATTCTCAGTAAACTTCGTTGGGATGTTTCGATTGAAGTCCCAGTGTTGAACATTCCCTTTTATAGAGCAGGTTGGAAACACTCTTTCTGCATTCCCTGGAAGTGGACATTTGGAGCGCTTTCAGGACGACGGTGAAAATGGAAATATCTTCCAATAAAATCTAGATAGAAGCAACGTCAGAAACTTTTCTGTGATGGATCTACTCAGCTAACAGAGTTGAACCTTTCTTTTGAGAGAGCAGTTTTGCAACACTCTTTTTGTGGAATATGCAAGTGGATATTAGGGCAGCTTTGAGGATTTCGTTGGAAACGGGAATACATGTAAAAAGCAGACAGCAGCATTCTCAGAAACTTCTTTGTGATGTTTGCATTGAAGTCACAGAGTTGAACATTCCCTTTGAGAAAGCAGGTTTGAAACACGCCTTCTGTCATATCTGGAAGTGTCCATTCGGAGCGCATTCAGGCTTGTGTTGAGAAAGGAAATATCCTCCCATAAAAACTAGACAGAAGCATTCTGAGAAACTTATCTGTGATGTATGTACTCAACTAACAGAACTAAACCACCGTTTTGAAGAAGCAGTGTTGAAACACTCTTTTTGCGGAATCTGCAAGTGGATATTTGCCTAGCTTGGAGGATTTCGTTGGAAACGGGATTACATACAAAAAGCAGACAGCAGCATTCTCATGAACTTCTTTGTGATGTTTGCATTCAAGTCACAGAGTTGAACATTCCCTTTCATAGAACAGGTTTGAAACACTCTTTTTGTAGTATCTGGATGTGGACATTTGGATCGCTTTCAGGCCTATGGTGAAAAAGGAAATATCTTCCCATGAAAACTAGACAGAAGCATTCTCAGAAACTTATTTGTGATGTGTGCCCTCAACTGACAGTGTTGAACCTTTGTTTTGATAGAGCAGTTCTGAAACACACTTTTTGTAAAATCTGCAAGAGGATATTTGGATAGCTTTGAGGATTTCGTTGGAAACGGGAATGTCTTCATGTAAACTCTAGACAGAAGCATTCTCAGAAACTGCTTTGGGATGTTTCAACTGAAGTCCCAGTGTTGAACATTCCCATTCATAGAGCAGGTTTGAAACACTCTTTTTGTACTATCTGGAAGTGGACATTTGGAGCGCTTTCAGGTCTACGGTGAAAAAGGAGATATCTTCCAATAAAAACTAGATAGAAGCAATGTCAGAACGTTTTTCATGATGTATCTACTCAGCAAACAGAGTTGAACCTTTCTTTTGAGAGAGCAGTTTTGACACAGTCTTTGTGGAATATGCAAGTGGGTATTAGGCCAGCTTGGAGGATTTCGTTGGAAACGGGAATACGTATAAAAAGCAGACAGCAGCATTGTCAGAAACTACTTTGTGATGTTTGCATTCAAGTCACAGAATTGAACACTCCCTTTCACAGAGCAGGTTTGAAACACTCTTTTTGTAGTGTCTGTAAGTGAACATATGGATTGCTTTCAGGCCTAAGGTGAAAAAGGAAATATCTTCCCATAAAAACTAGACAGAAGCATTCTCAGAAACTTGTTTGTGATGTGTGCCCTCTACTGACAGAGTTGAACCTTTCTTTGCAAAGAGCAGTTTTGAAACACTCTTTTTGTAGAATCTGCAAGAGGATATTTGGATAGCTTTGAGGATTTCTTGGGAAACGGGAATGTCTTCAGATAAACTCTAGACAGAAGCATTCTCAGAAACTTCTTTGGGATGTTTCAATTGAAGTCACAGTGTTGAACATTCCCTTTCACAGAGCAGGTTTGAAACACTCTTTTTGTAGTGTCTATAAGTGAACATTTGGCGTGCTTTCAGGCCTAACGTGAAAAAGGAAATATCTTCCCATAAAAACTAGACAGAAGCATTCTCAGAAACTTGTTCGTGATGTGTGCCCTCTACTGACAGACTTGAACCTTTCTTTGCAAAGAGCAGCTTTGAAACATTCTTTTTGTAGAATCTGCAAGAGGATATTTGGATAGCTTTGAGGATTTCGTTGGAAACGGGTATGTCTTCAGATAAACTCTAGACAGAAGCATTCTCAGAAACTTCTTTGGGATGTTGCATTCAAGTCACAGAGTAGAACATTCCCATTCATAGAGCAGATTTGAAACACTCTTTTTGTAGTATCTGGAAGTGTACATTTGGAGCGCTTTCAGGCCTATGTTGAAAAAGGAAATATCTTCCCATAAAAACTAGACGGAAGCATTCTCAGAAACTTACTTGTGATGTGTTTGCTCAACTAACAGAATTGAACCATCGTTTTGAAGGAGCAGTTTTGAAACACTGTTTTCGTGGAATCTGCAAGTGGATATTTGGCTAGCTTTGAGGATTTCGTTGGAAACGGGATTACATATAAAAAGGAGACAGCAGCATTCTCAGAAACTTCTTTGTGCTGTCTGCATTCAAGTCACAGAGTTGAGCATTCCCTTTCATAGAGCAGGTTGGAAACACTCTTTTTGTAGTATCTGGATGAGGACATTTGGAGCGCTTTCAGGCGTATGGTGAAAAAGGAAATATCTTCCCGTAAAAACTAGACAGAAGCATTCTCAGAAATTTATTTGTGATGTGTGCCCTCAACTAACAGAGTTGAACCTTTCTTTTGATAGAGCAGTTTTGAAACACTCTTTTTGTAAAATCTGCAAGAGGATATTTGGATAGCTTTGAGGATTTCGTTGCAAACGGGAATGGCTTCATATAAACTCTAGACAGAAGCATTCTCAGAAACTTCGTTGGGATGTTTCGATTGAAGTCCCAGTGTTGAACATTCCCTTTTATAGAGCAGGTTGGAAACACTCTTTCTGCATTCCCTGGAAGTGGACATTTGGAGCGCTTTCAGGACGACGGTGAAAATGGAAATATCTTCCAAGAAAATCTAGATAGAAGCAATGTCAGAAACTTTTATGTGATGGATCTACTCAGCTAACAGAGTTGAACCTTTCTTTTGAGAGAGCAGTTTTGCAACACTCTTTTTGTGGAATATGCAAGTGGATATTAGGGCAGCTTTGAGGATTTCGTTGGAAACGGGAATACATGTAAAAAGCAGACAGCAGCATTCTCAGAAACTTCTTTGTGATGTTTGCATTGAAGTCACAGAGTTGAACATTCCCTTTGAGAGAGCAGGTTTGAAACACGCCTTTTGTCATATCTGGAAGTGTCCATTCGGAGCGCATTCAGGCTTGTGTTGAAAAAGGAAATATCCTCCCATAAAAACTAGACAGAAGCATTCTCAGAAACTTATCTGTGATGTATGTACTCAACTAACAGAACTAAACCATCGTTTTGAAGGAGCAGTTTTGAAACACTCTTTTTGCGGAATCTGCAAGTGGATATTTGGCTAGCTGGGAGGATTTCGTTGGAAACGGGATTACATACAAAAAGCAGACAGCAGCATTCTCAGAAACTTCTTTGTGATGTTTGCATTCAAGTCACAGAGTTGAACATTCCCTTTCATAGAGCAGGTTTGAAACACTCTTTTTGTAGTATCTGGATGTGGACATTTGGATCGCTTTCAGGCCTATGGTGAAAAAGGAAATATCTTCACATGAAAACTAGACAGAAGCATTCTCAGAAATTTATTTGTGATGTGTGCCCTCAACTAACAGAGTTGAACCTTTCTTTTGATAGAGCAGTTTTGAAACACTCTTTTTGTAAAATCTGCAAGAGGATATTTGGATAGCTTTGAGGATTTCATTGCAAACGGGAATGGCTTCATATAAACTCTAGACAGAAGCATTCTCAGAAACTTCGTTGGGATGTTTCGATTGAAGTCCCAGTGTTGAACATTCCCTTTTATAGAGCAGGTTGGAAACACTCTTTCTGCATTCCCTGGAAGTGGACATTTGGAGCGCTTTCAGGACGACGGTGAAAATGGAAATATCTTCCAAGAAAATCTAGATAGAAGCAATGTCAGAAACTTTTATGTGATGGATCTACTCAGCTAACAGAGTTGAACCTTTCTTTTGAGAGAGCAGTTTTGCAACACTCTTTTTGTGGAATATGCAAGTGGATATTAGGGCAGCTTTGAGGATTTCGTTGGAAACGGGAATACATGTAAAAAGCAGACAGCAGCATTCTCAGAAACTTCTTTGTGATGTTTGCATTGAAGTCACAGAGTTGAACATTCCCTTTGAGAGAGCAGGTTTGAAACACGCCTTTTGTCATATCTGGAAGTGTCCATTCGGAGCGCATTCAGGCTTGTGTTGAAAAAGGAAATATCCTCCCATAAAAACTAGACAGAAGCATTCTCAGAAACTTATCTGTGATGTATGTACTCAACTAACAGAACTAAACCATCGTTTTGAAGGAGCAGTTTTGAAACACTCTTTTTGCGGAATCTGCAAGTGGATATTTGGCTAGCTGGGAGGATTTCGTTGGAAACGGGATTACATACAAAAAGCAGACAGCAGCATTCTCAGAAACTTCTTTGTGATGTTTGCATTCAAGTCACAGAGTTGAACATTCCCTTTCATAGAGCAGGTTTGAAACACTCTTTTTGTAGTATCTGGATGTGGACATTTGGATCGCTTTCAGGCGTATGGTGAAAAAGGAAATATCTTCCCATGAAAACTAGACAGAAGCATTCTCAGAAACTTATTTGTGATGTGTGCCCTCAACTGACAGTGTTGAACCTTTGTTTTGATAGAGCAGTTCTGAAACACACTTTTTGTAAAATCTGCAAGAGGATATTTGGATAGCTTTGAGGATTTCGTTGGAAACGGGAATGTCTTCATGTAAACTCTACACAGAAGCATTCTCAGAAACTGCTTTGGGATGTTTCAATTGAAGTCCCAGTGTTGAACATTCCCATTCATAGAGCAGGTTTGAAGCACTCTTTTTGTACTATCTGGAAGTGGACATTTGGAGCGCTTTCAGGTCTACGGTGAAAAAGGAGATATCTTCCAATAAAAACTAGATAGAAGCAATGTCAGAACTTTTTTCATGATGTATCTACTCAGCAAACAGAGTTGAACCTTTCTTTTGAGAGAGCAGTTTTGAAACACTCTTTTTGTGGAATATGAAAGTGGGTATTAGGCCAGCTTGGAGGATTTCGTTGGAAACGGGAATACGTATAAAAAGCAGACAGCAGCATTGTCAGAAACTACTTTGTGATGTTTGCATTCAAGTCACAGAACTGAACACTCCCTTTCACAGAGCAGGTTTGAAACACTCTTTTTGTAGTGTCTGTAAGTGAACATTTGTATTGCTTTCAGGCCTAAGGTGAAAAAGGAAATATCTTCCCATAAAAACTAGACAGAAGCATTCTCAGAAACTTGTTTGTGATGTGTGCCCTCTACTGACAGAGTTGAACCTTTCTTTGCAAAGAGCAGTTTTGAAACACTCTTTTTGTAGAATCTGCAAGAGGATATTTGGATAGCTTTGAGGATTTCTTGGGAAACGGGAATGTCTTCAGATAAACTCTAGACAGAAGCATTCTCAGAAACTTCTTTGGGATGTTTCAATTGAAGTCACAGTGTTGAACATTCCCTTTCACAGAGCAGGTTTGAAACACTCTTTTTGTAGTGTCTATAAGTGAACATTTGGCGTGCTTTCAGGCCTAACGTGAAAAAGGAAATATCTTCCCATAAAAACTAGACAGAAGCATTCTCAGAAACTTGTTCTTGATGTGTCCCCTCTACTGACAGAGTTGAACCTTTCTTTGCAAAGAGCAGCTTTGAAACACTCTTTTTGTAGAATCTGCAAGAGGATATTTGGATAGCTTGGAGGATTTCGTTGGAAACGGGTATGTCTTCAGATAAACTCTAGACAGAAGCATTCTCAGAAACTTCTTTGGGATGTTGCATTCAAGTCACAGAGTAGAACATTCCCATTCATAGAGCAGATTTGAAACACTCTTTTTGTAGTATCTGGAAGTGGACATTTGGAGCGCTTTCAGGCCTATGTTGAAAAAGGAAATATCTTCCCATAAAAACTAGACGGAAAGCATTCTCAGAAACTTATTTGTGATGTGTTTGCTCAACTAACAGGATTGAACCATCGTTTTGAAGGAGCAGTTTTGAAACACTGTTTTCGTGGAATCTGCAAGTGGATATTTGGCTAGCTTTGAGGATTTCGTTGGAAACGGGATTACATATACAAAGGAGACAGCAGCATTCTGAGAAACTTCTTTGTGATGTCTGCATTCAAGTCACAGAGTTGAGCATTCCCTTTCATAGAGCAGGTTGGAAACACTCTTTTTGTAGTATCTGGATGAGGACATTTGGAGCGCTTTCAGGCGTATGGTGAAAAAGGAAATATCTTCCCGTAAAAACTAGACAGAAGCATTCTCAGAAATTTATTTGTGATGTGTGCCCTCAACTAACAGAGTTGAACCTTTCTTTTGATAGAGCAGTTTTGAAACACTCTTTTTGTAAAATCTGCAAGAGGATATTTGGATAGCTTTGAGGATTTCGTTGCAAACGGGAATGGCTTCATATAAACTCTAGACAGAAGCATTCTCAGAAACTTCGTTGGGATGTTTCGATTGAAGTCCCAGTGTTGAACATTCCCTTTTATAGAGCAGGTTGGAAACACTCTTTCTGCATTCCCTGGAAGTGGACATTTGGAGCGCTTTCAGGACGACGGTGAAAATGGAAATATCTTCCAAGAAAATCTAGATAGAAGCAATGTCAGAAACTTTTATGTGATGGATCTACTCAGCTAACAGAGTTGAACCTTTCTTTTGAGAGAGCAGTTTTGCAACACTCTTTTTGTGGAATATGCAAGTGGATATTAGGGCAGCTTTGAGGATTTCGTTGGAAACGGGAATACATGTAAAAAGCAGACAGCAGCATTCTCAGAAACTTCTTTGTGATGTTTGCATTGAAGTCACAGAGTTGAACATTCCCTTTGAGAGAGCAGGTTTGAAACACGCCTTTTGTCATATCTGGAAGTGTCCATTCGGAGCGCATTCAGGCTTGTGTTGAAAAAGGAAATATCCTCCCAGAAAAACTAGACAGAAGCATTCTCAGAAACTTATCTGTGATGTATGTACTCAACTAACAGAACTAAACCATCGTTTTGAAGGAGCAGTTTTGAAACACTCTTTTTGCGGAATCTGCAAGTGGATATTTGGCTAGCTGGGAGGATTTCGTTGGAAACGGGATTACATACAAAAAGCAGACAGCAGCATTCTCAGAAACTTCTTTGTGATGTTTGCATTCAAGTCACAGAGTTGAACATTCCCTTTCATAGAGCAGGTTTGAAACACTCTTTTTGTAGTATCTGGATGTGGACATTTGGATCGCTTTCAGGCCTATGGTGAAAAAGGAAATATCTTCCCATGAAAACTAGACAGAAGCATTCTCAGAAACTTATTTGTGATGTGTGCCCTCAACTGACAGTGTTGAACCTTTGTTTTGATAGAGCAGTTCTGAAACACACTTTTTGTAAAATCTGCAAGAGGATATTTGGATAGCTTTGAGGATTTCGTTGGAAACGGGAATGTCTTCATGTAAACTTTACACAGAAGCATTCTCAGAAACTGCTTTGGGATGTTTCAATTGAAGTCCCAGTGTTGAACATTCCCATTCATAGAGCAGGTTTGAAACACTCTTTTTGTACTATCTGGAAGTGGACATTTGGAGCGCTTTCAGGTCTACGGTGAAAAAGGAGATATCTTCCAATAAAAACTAGATAGAAGCAATGTCAGAACTTTTTTCATGATGTATCTACTCAGCAAACAGAGTTGAACCTTTCTTTTGAGAGAGCAGTTTTGAAACACTCTTTTTGTGGAATATGCAAGTGGGTATTAGGCCAGCTTGGAGGATTTCGTTGGAAACGGGAATACGTATAAAAAGCAGACAGCAGCATTGTCAGAAACTACTTTGTGATGTTTGCATTCAAGTCACAGAATTGAACACTCCCTTTCACAGAGCAGGTTTGAAACACTCTTTTTGTAGTGTCTGTAAGTGAACATTTGGATTGCTTTCAGGCCTAAGGTGAAAAAGGAAATATCTTCCCATAAAAACTAGACAGAAGCATTCTCAGAAACTTGTTTGTGATGTGTGCCCTCTACTGACAGAGTTGAACCTTTCTTTGCAAAGAGCAGTTTTGAAACACTCTTTTTGTAGAATCTGCAAGAGGATATTTGGATAGCTTTGAGGATTTCTTGGGAAACGGGAATGTCTTCAGATAAACTCTAGACAGAAGCATTCTCAGAAACTTCTTTGGGATGTTTCAATTGAAGTCACAGTGTTGAACATTCCCTTTCACAGAGCAGGTTTCAAACACTCTTTTTGTAGTGTCTATAAGTGAACATTTGGCGTGCTTTCAGGCCTAACGTGAAAAAGGAAATATCTTCCCATAAAAACTAGACAGAAGTATTCTCAGAAACTTGTTCGTGATGTGTGCCCTCTACTGACAGAGTTGAACCTTTCTTTGCAAAGAGCAGCTTTGAAACACACTTTTTGTAGAATCTGCAAGAGGATATTTGGATAGCTTTGAGGATTTCGTTGGAAACGGGTATGTCTTCAGATAAACTCTAGACAGAAGCATTCTCAGAAACTTCTTTGGGATGTTGCATTCAAGTCACAGAGTAGAACATTCCCATTCATAGAGCAGATTTGAAACACTCTTTTTGTAGTATCTGGAAGTGGACATTTGGAGCGCTTTCAGGCCTATGTTGAAAAAGGAAATATCTTCCCATAAAAACTAGACGGAAGCATTCTCAGAAACTTATTTGTGATGTGTTTGCTCAACTAACAGGATTGAACCATCGTTTTGAAGGAGCAGTTTTGAAACACTGTTTTCGTGGAATCTGCAAGTGGATATTTGGCTAGCTTTGAGGATTTCGTTGGAAACGGGATTACATATAAAAAGGAGACAGCAGCATTCTCAGAAACTTCTTTGTGATGTCTGCATTCAATTCACAGAGTTGAGCATTCCCTTTCATAGAGCAGGTTGGAAACACTCTTTTTGTAGTATCTGGATGAGGACATTTGGAGCGCTTTCAGGCGTATGGTGAAAAAGGAAATATCTTCCCGTAAAAACTAGACAGAAGCATTCTCAGAAATTTATTTGTGATGTGTGCCCTCAACTAACAGAGTTGAACCTTTCTTTTGATAGAGCAGTTTTGAAACACTCTTTTTGTAAAATCTGCAAGAGGATATTTGGATAGCTTTGAGGATTTCGTTGCAAACGGGAATGGCTTCATATAAACTCTAGACAGAAGCATTCTCAGAAACTTCGTTGGGATGTTTCGATTGAAGTCCCAGTGTTGAACATTCCCTTTTATAGAGCAGGTTGGAAACACTCTTTCTGCATTCCCTGGAAGTGGACATTTGGAGCGCTTTCAGGACGACGGTGAAAATGGAAATATCTTCCAAGCAAAATCTAGATAGAAGCAACGTCAGAAACTTTTATGTGATGGATCTACTCAGCTAACAGAGTTGAACCTTTCTTTTGAGAGAGCAGTTTTGCAACACTCTTTTTGTGGAATATGCAAGTGGATATTAGGGCAGCTTTGAGGATTTCGTTGGAAACGGGAATACATGTAAAAAGCAGACAGCAGCATTCTCAGAAACTTCTTTGTGATGTTTGCATTGAAGTCACAGAGTTGAACATTCCCTTTGAGAGAGCAGGTTTGAAACACGCCTTTTGTCATATCTGGAAGTGTCCATTCGGAGCGCATTCAGGCTTGTGTTGAAAAAGGAAATATCCTCCCATAAAAACTAGACAGAAGCATTCTCAGAAACTTATCTGTGATGTATGTACTCAACTAACAGAACTAAACCATCGTTTTGAAGGAGCAGTTTTGAAACACTCTTTTTGCGGAATCTGCAAGTGGATATTTGGCTAGCTGGGAGGATTTCGTTGGAAACGGGATTACATACAAAAAGCAGACAGCAGCATTCTCAGAAACTTCTTTGTGATGTTTGCATTCAAGTCACAGAGTTGAACATTCCCTTTCATAGAGCAGGTTTGAAACACTCTTTTTGTAGTATCTGGATGTGGACATTTGGATCGCTTTCAGGCCTATGGTGAAAAAGGAAATATCTTCCCATGAAAACTAGACAGAAGCATTCTCAGAAACTTATTTGTGATGTGTGCCCTCAACTGACAGTGTTGAACCTTTGTTTTGATAGAGCAGTTCTGAAACACACTTTTTGTAAAATCTGCAAGAGGATATTTGGATAGCTTTGAGGATTTCGTTGGAAACGGGAATGTCTTCATGTAAACTCTAGACAGAAGCATTCTCAGAAACTGCTTTGGGATGTTTCAATTGAAGTCCCAGTGTTGAACATTCCCTTTCATAGAGCAGGTTTGAAACACTCTTTTTGTACTATCTGGAAGTGGACATTTGGAGCGCTTTCAGGTCTACGGTGAAAAAGGAGATATCTTCCAATAAAAACTAGATAGAAGCAATGTCAGAACTTTTTTCATGATGTATCTACTCAGCAAACAGAGTTGAACCTTTCTTTTGAGAGAGCAGTTTTGAAACACTCTTTTTGTGGAATATGCAAGTGGGTATTAGGCCAGCTTGGAGGATTTCGTTGGAAACGGGAATACGTATAAAAAGCAGACAGCAGCATTGTCAGAAACTACTTTGTGATGTTTACATTCAAGTCACAGAACTGAACACTCCCTTTCACAGAGCAGGTTTGAAACACTCTTTTTGTAGTGTCTGTAAGTGAACATTTGGATTGCTTTCAGGCCTAAGGTGAAAAAGGAAATGTCTTCCCATAAAAACTAGACAGAAGCATTCTCAGAAACTTGTTTGTGATGTGTGCCCTCTACTGACAGAGTTGAACCTTTCTTTGCAAAGACCAGTTTTGAAACACTCTTTTTGTAGAATCTGCAAGAGGATATTTGGATAGCTTTGAGGATTTCTTGGGAAACGGGAATGTCTTCAGATAAACTCTAGACAGAAGCATTCTCAGAAACTTCTTTGGGATGTTTCAATTGAAGTCACAGTGTTGAACATTCCCTTTCACAGAGCAGGTTTGAAACACTCTTTTTGTAGTGTCTATAAGTGAACATTTGGCGTGCTTTCAGGCCTAACGTGAAAAAGGAAATATCTTCCCATAAAAACTAGACAGAAGCATTCTCAGAAACTTGTTCGTGATGTGTGCCCTCTACTGACAGAGTTGAACCTTTCTTTGCAAAGAGCAGCTTTGAAACACTCTTTTTGTAGAATCTGCAAGAGGATATTTGGATAGCTTTGAGGATTTCGTTGGAAACGGGTATGTCTTCAGATAAACTCTAGACAGAAGCATTCTCAGAAACTTCTTTGGGATGTTGCATTCAAGTCACAGAGTAGAACATTCCCATTCATAGAGCAGATTTGAAACACTCTTTTGTAGTATCTGGAAGTGGACATTTGGAACGCTTTCAGGCCTATGTTGAAAAAGGATATATCTTCCCATAAAAACTAGACGGAAGCATTCTCAGAAACTTACTTGTGATGTGTTTGCTCAACTAACAGAATTGAACCATCGTTTTGAAGGAGCAGTTTTGAAACACTGTTTTCGTGGAATCTGCAAGTGGATATTTGGCTAGCTTTGAGGATTTCGTTGGAAACGGGATTACATATAAAAAGGAGACAGCAGCATTCTCAGAAACTTCTTTATGATGTCTGCATTCAAGTCACAGAGTTGAGCATTCCCTTTCATAGAGCAGGTTGGAAACACTCTTTGTGTAGTATCTGGATGAGGACATTTGGAGCGCTTTCAGGCGTATGGTGAAAAAGGAAATATCTTCCCGTAAAAACTAGACAGAAGCATTCTCAGAAATTTATTTGTGATGTGTGCCCTCAACTAACAGAGTTGAACCTTTCTTTTGATAGAGCAGTTTTGAAACACTCTTTTTGTAAAATCTGCAAGAGGATATTTGGAGAGCTTTGAGGATTTCGTTGCAAACGGGAATGGCTTCATATAAACTCTAGACAGAAGCATTCTCAGAAACTTCGTTGGGATGTTTCGATTGAAGTCCCAGTGTTGAACATTCCCTTTTATAGAGCAGGTTGGAAACACTCTTTTTGCATTCCCTGGAAGTGGACATTTGGAGCGCTTTCAGGACGACGGTGAAAATGGAAATATCTTCCAATAAAATCTAGATAGAAGCCATGTCAGAAACTTTTATGTGATGGATCTACTCAGCTAACAGAGTTGAACCTTTCTTTTGAGAGAGCAGTTTTGCAACACTCTTTTTGTGGAATATGCAAGTGGATATTAGGGCAGCTTTGAGGATTTCGTTGGAAACGGGAATACATGTAAAAAGCAGACAGCAGCATTCTCAGAAACTTCTTTGTGATGTTTGCATTGAAGTCACAGAGTTGAACATTCCCTTTGAGAGAGCAGGTTTGAAACATGCCTTTTGTCATATCTGGAAGTGTCCATTCGGAGCGCATTCAGGCTTGTGTTGAAAAAGGAAATATCCTCCCATAAAAACTAGACAGAAGCATTCTCAGAAACTTATCTGTGATGTATGTACTCAACTAACAGAACTAAACCATCGTTTTGAAGGAGCAGTTTTGAAACACTCTTTTTGCGGAATCTGCAAGTGGATATTTGGCTAGCTGGGAGGATTTCGTTGGAAACGGGATTACATACAAAAAGCAGACAGCAGCATTCTCAGAAACTTCTTTGTGATGTTTGCATTCAAGTCACAGAGTTGAACATTCCCTTTCATAGAGCAGGTTTGAAACACTCTTTTTGTAGTATCTGGATGTGGACATTTGGATCGCTTTCAGGCCTATGGTGAAAAAGGAAATATCTTCCCATGAAAACTAGACAGAAGCATTCTCAGAAACTTATTTGTGATGTGTGCCCTCAACTGACAGTGTTGAACCTTTGTTTTGATAGAGCAGTTCTGAAACACACTTTTTGTAAAATCTGCAAGAGGATATTTGGATAGCTTTGAGGATTTCGTTGGAAACGGGAATGTCTTCATGTAAACTCTAGACAGAAGCATTCTCAGAAACTGCTTTGGGATGTTTCAATTGAAGTCCCAGTGTTGAACATTCCCTTTCATAGAGCAGGTTTGAAACACTCTTTTTGTACTATCTGGAAGTGGACATTTGGAGCGCTTTCAGGTCTACGGTGAAAAAGGAGATATCTTCCAATAAAAACTAGATAGAAGCAATGTCAGAACTTTTTTCATGATGTATCTACTCAGCAAACAGAGTTGAACCTTTCTTTTGAGAGAGCAGTTTTGAAACACTCTTTTTGTGGAATATGCAAGTGGGTATTAGGCCAGCTTGAAGGATTTCGTTGGAAACGGGATTACGTATAAAAAGCAGACAGCAGCATTGTCAGAAACTACTTTGTGATGTTTGCATTCAAGTCACAGAATTGAACACTCCCTTTCACAGAGCAGGTTTGAAACACTCTTTTTGTAGTGTCTGTAAGTGAACATATGGATTGCTTTCAGGCCTAAGGTGAAAAAGGAAATATCTTCCCATAAAAACTAGACAGAAAGCATTCTCAGAAACTTGTTTGTGATGTGTGCCCTCTACTGACAGAGTTGAACCTTTCTTTGCAAAGAGCAGTTTTGAAACACTCTTTTTGTAGAATCTGCAAGAGGATATTTGGATAGCTTTGAGGATTTCTTGGGAAACGGGAATGTCTTCAGATAAACTCTAGACAGAAGCATTCTCAGAAACTTCTTTGGGATGTTTCAATTGAAGTCACAGTGTTGAACATTCCCTTTCACAGAGCAGGTTTGAAACACTCTTTTTGTAGTGTCTATAAGTGAACATTTGGCGTGCTTTCAGGCCTAACGTGAAAAAGGAAATATCTTCCCATAAAAACTAGACAGAAGCATTCTCAGAAACTTGTTCTTGATGTGTCCCCTCTACTGACAGAGTTGAACCTTTCTTTGCAAAGAGCGGCTTTGAAACACTCTTTTTGTAGAATCTGCAAGAGGATATTTGGATAGCTTGGAGGTTTTCGTTGGAAACGGGTATGTCTTCAGATAAACTCTAGACAGAAGCATTCTCAGAAACTTCTTTGGGATGTTGCATTCAAGTCACAGAGTAGAACATTCCCATTCATAGAGCAGATTTGAAACACTCTTTTTGTAGTATCTGGAAGTGGACATTTGGAGCGCTTTCAGGCCTATGTTGAAAAAGGAAATATCTTCCCATAAAAACTAGACGGAAGCATTCTCAGAAACTTACTTGTGATGTGTTTGCTCAACTAACAGAATTGAACCATCGTTTTGAAGGAGCAGTTTTGAAACACTGTTTTCGTGGAATCTGCAAGTGGATATTTGGCTAGCTTTGAGGATTTCGTTGGAAACGGGATTACATATAAAAAGGAGACAGCAGCATTCTCAGAAACTTCTTTGTGATGTCTGCATTCAAGTCACAGAGTTGAGCATTCCCTTTCATAGAGCAGGTTGGAAACACTCTTTGTGTAGTATCTGGATGAGGACATTTGGAGCGCTTTCAGGCGTATGGTGAAAAAGGAAATATCTTCCCGTAAAAACTAGACAGAAGCATTCTCAGAAATTTATTTGTGATGTGTGCCCTCAACTAACAGAGTTGAACCTTTCTTTTGATAGAGCAGTTTTGAAACACTCTTTTTGTAAAATCTGCAAGAGGATATTTGGATAGCTTTGAGGATTTCGTTGCAAACGGGAATGGCTTCATATAAACTCTAGACAGAAGCATTCTCAGAAACTTCGTTGGGATGTTTCGATTGAAGTCCCAGTGTTGAACATTCCCTTTTATAGAGCAGGTTGGAAACACTCTTTCTGCATTCCCTGGAAGTGGACATTTGGAGCGCTTTCAGGACGACGGTGAAAATGGAAATATCTTCCAAGAAAATCTAGATAGAAGCAATGTCAGAAACTTTTCTGTGATGGATCTACTCAGCTAACAGAGTTGAACCTTTCTTTTGAGAGAGCAGTTTTGCAACACTCTTTTTGTGGAATATGCAAGTGGATATTAGGGCAGCTTTGAGGATTTCGTTGGAAACGGGAATACATGTAAAAAGCAGACAGCAGCATTCTCAGAAACTTCTTTGTGATGTTTGCATTGAAGTCACAGAGTTGAACATTCCCTTTGAGAGAGCAGGTTTGAAACACGCCTTTTGTCATATCTGGAGGTGTCCATTCGGAGCGCATTCAGGCTTGTTTTGAAAAAGGAAATATCCTCCCAGAAAAACTAGACAGAAGCATTCTCAGAAACTTATCTGTGATGTATGTACTCAACTAACAGAACTAAACCATCGTTTTGAAGGAGCAGTTTTGAAACACTCTTTTTGCGGAATCTGCAAGTGGATATTTGGCTAGCTGGGAGGATTTCGTTGGAAACGGGATTACATACAAAAAGCAGACAGCAGCATTCTCAGAAACTACTTTGTGATGTTTGCATTCAAGTCACAGAGTTGAACATTCCCTTTCATAGAGCAGGTTTGAAACACTCTTTTTGAAGTATCTGGATGTGGACATTTGGATCGCTTTCAGGCCTATGGTGAAAAAGGAAATATCTTCCCATGAAAACTAGACAGAAGCATTCTCAGAAACTTATTTGTGATGTGTGCCCTCAACTGACAGTGTTGAACCTTTGTTTTGATAGAGCAGTTCTGAAACACACTTTTTGTAAAATCTGCAAGAGGATATTTGGATAGCTTTGAGGATTTCGTTGGAAACGGGAATGTCTTCATGTAAACTCTAGACAGAAGCATTCTCAGAAACTGCTTTGGGATGTTTCAATTGAAGTCCCAGTGTTGAACATTCCCTTTCATAGAGCAGGTTTGAAACACTCTTTTTGTACTATCTGGAAGTGGACATTTGGAGCGCTTTCAGGTCTACGGTGAAAAAGGAGATATCTTCCAATAAAAACTAGATAGAAGCAATGTCAGAACTTTTTTCATGATGTATCTACTCAGCAAACAGAGTTGAACCTTTCTTTTGAGAGAGCAGTTTTGAAACACTCCTTTTGTGGAATATGCAAGTGGGTATTAGGCCAGCTTGGAGGATTTCGTTGGAAACGGGATTACGTATAAAAAGCAGACAGCAGCATTGTCAGAAACTACTTTGTGATGTTTGCATTCAAGTCACAGAATTGAACACTCCCTTTCACAGAGCAGGTTTGAAACACTCTTTTTGTAGTGTCTGTAAGTGAACATTTGGATTGATTTCAGGCCTAAGGTGAAAAAGGAAATATCTTCCCATAAAAACTAGACAGAAGCATTCTCAGAAACTTGTTTGTGATGTGTGCCCTCTACTGACAGAGTTGAACCTTTCTTTGCAAAGAGCAGTTTTGAAACACTCTTTTTGTAGAATCTGCAAGAGGATATTTGGATAGCTTTGAGGATTTCTTGGGAAACGGGAATGTCTTCAGATAAACTCTAGACAGAAGCATTCTCAGAAACTTCTTTGGGATGTTTCAATTGAAGTCACAGTGTTGAACATTCCCTTTCACAGAGCAGGTTTGAAACACTCTTTTTGTAGTGTCTATAAGTGAACATTTGGCGTGCTTTCAGGCGTAACGTGAAAAAGGAAATATCTTCCCATAAAAACCAGACAGAAGCATTCTCAGAAACTTGTTTGTGATGTGTGCCCTCTACTGACAGAGTTGAACCTTTCTTTGCAAAGAGCAGCTTTGAAACACTCTTTTTGTAGAATCTGCAAGAGGATATGTGGATAGCTTTGAGGATTTCGTTGGAAACGGGTATGTCTTCAGATAAACTCTAGACAGAAGCATTCTCAGAAACTTCTTTGGGATGTTTCAATTGAAGTCACAGTGTTGAACATTCCCTTTCACAGAGCAGGTTTGAAACACTCTTTTTGTAGTGTCTATAAGTGAACATTTGGCGTGCTTTCAGGCCTAACGTGAAAAAGGAAATATCTTCCCATAAAAACTAGACAGAAGCATTCTCAGAAACTTGTTCTTGATGTGTCCCCTCTACTGACAGAGTTGAACCTTTCTTTGCAAAGAGCAGCTTTGAAACACTCTTTTTGTAGAATCTGCAAGAGGATATTTGGATAGCTTGGAGGAGTTCGTTGGAAACGGGTATGTCTTCAGATAAACTCTAGACAGAAGCATTCTCAGAAACTTCTTTGGGATGTTGCATTCAAGTCACAGAGTAGAACATTCCCATTCATAGAGCAGATTTGAAACACTCTTTTTGTAGTATCTGGAAGTGGACATTTGGAGCGCTTTCAGGCCTATGTTGAAAAAGGAAATATCTTCCCATAAAAACTAGACGGAAGCATTCTCAGAAACTTACTTGTGATGTGTTTGCTCAACTAACAGAATTGAACCATCGTTTTGAAGGAGCAGTTTTGAAACACTGTTTTCGTGGAATCTGCAAGTGGATATTTGGCTAGCTTTGAGGATTTCGTTGGAAACGGGATTACATATAAAAAGGAGACAGCAGCATTCTCAGAAACTTCTTTGTGATGTCTGCATTCAATTCACAGAGTTGAGCATTCCCTTTCATAGAGCAGGTTGGAAACACTCTTTTTGTAGTATCTGGATGAGGACATTTGGAGCGCTTTCAGGCGTATGGTGAAAAAGGAAATATCTTCCCGTAAAAACTAGACAGAAGCATTCTCAGAAATTTATTTGTGATGTGTGCCCTCAACTAACAGAGTTGAACCTTTCTTTTGATAGAGCAGTTTTGAAACACTCTTTTTGTAAAATCTGCAAGAGGATATTTGGATAGCTTTGAGGATTTCGTTGCAAACGGGAATGGCTTCATATAAACTCTAGACAGAAGCATTCTCAGAAACTTCGTTGGGATGTTTCGATTGAAGTCCCAGTGTTGAACATTCCCTTTTATAGAGCAGGTTGGAAACACTCTTTCTGCATTCCCTGGAAGTGGACATTTGGAGCGCTTTCAGGACGACGGTGAAAATGGAAATATCTTCCAAGAAAATCTAGATAGAAGCAACGTCAGAAACTTTTCTGTGATGGATCTACTCAGCTAACAGAGTTGAACCTTTCTTTTGAGAGAGCAGTTTTGCAACACTCTTTTTGTGGAATATGCAAGTGGATATTAGGGCAGCTTTGAGGATTTCGTTGGAAACGGGAATACATGTAAAAAGCAGACAGCAGCATTCTCAGAAACTTCTTTGTGATGTTTGCATTGAAGTCACAGAGTTGAACATTCCCTTTGAGAGAGCAGGTTTGAAACACGCCTTTTGTCATATCTGGAAGTGTCCATTCGGAGCGCATTCAGGCTTGTGTTGAAAAAGGAAATATCCTCCCATAAAAACTAGACAGAAGCATTCTCAGAAACTTATCTGTGATGTATGTACTCAACTAACAGAACTAAACCATCGTTTTGAAGGAGCAGTTTTGAAACACTCTTTTTGCGGAATCTGCAAGTGGATATTTGGCTAGCTGGGGGATTTCGTTGGAAACGGGATTACATACAAAAAGCAGACAGCAGCATTCTCAGAAACTTCTTTGTGATGTTTGCATTCAAGTCACAGAGTTGAACATTCCCTTTCATAGAGCAGGTTTGAAACACTCTTTTTGTAGTATCTGGATGTGGACATTTGGATCGCTTTCAGGCCTATGGTGAAAAAGGAAATATCTTCACATGAAAACTAGACAGAAGCATTCTCAGAAACTTATTGGTGATGTGTGCCCTCAACTGACAGTGTTGAACCTTTGTTTTGATAGAGCAGTTCTGAAACACACTTTTTGTAAAATCTGCAAGAGGATATTTGGATAGCTTTGAGGATTTCGTTGGAAACGGGAATGTCTTCATGTAAACTCTACACAGAAGCATTCTCAGAAACTGCTTTGGGATGTTTCAATTGAAGTCCCAGTGTTGAACATTCCCATTCATAGAGCAGGTTTGAAACACTCTTTTTGTACTATCTGGAAGTGGACATTTGGAGCGCTTTCAGGTCTACGGTGAAAAAGGAGATATCTTCCAATAAAAACTAGATAGAAGCAATGTCAGAACTTTTTTCATGATGTATCTACTCAGCAAACAGAGTTGAACCTTTCTTTTGAGAGAGCAGTTTTGAAACACTCTTTTTGTGGAATATGCAAGTGGGTATTAGGCCAGCTTGGAGGATTTCGTTGGAAACGGGAATACGTATAAAAAGCAGACAGCAGCATTGTCAGAAACTACTTTGTGATGTTTGCATTCAAGTCACAGAATTGAACACTCCCTTTCACAGAGCAGGTTTGAAACACTCTTTTTGTAGTGTCTGTAAGTGAACTTTTGGATTGCTTTCAGGCCTAAGGTGAAAAAGGAAATATCTTCCCATAAAAACTAGACAGAAGCATTCTCAGAAACTTGTTTGTGATGTGTGCCCTCTACTGACAGAGTTGAACCTTTCTTTGCAAAGAGCAGTTTTGAAACACTCTTTTTGTAGAATCTGCAAGAGGATATTTGGATAGCTTTGAGGATTTCTTGGGAAACGGGAATGTCTTCAGATAAACTCTAGACAGAAGCATTCTCAGAAACTTCTTTGGGATGTTTCAATTGAAGTCACAGTGTTGAACATTCCCTTTCACAGAGCAGGTTTGAAACACTCTTTTTGTAGTGTCTATAAGTGAACATTTGGCGTGCTTTCAGGCCTAACGTGAAAAAGGAAATATCTTCCCATAAAAACTAGACAGAAGCATTCTCAGAAACTTGTTCGTGATGTGTGCCCTCTACTGACAGAGTTGAACCTTTCTTTGCAAAGAGCAGATTTGAAACACACTTTTTGTAGAATCTGCAAGAGGATATTTGGATAGCTTTGAGGATTTCGTTGGAAACGGGTATGTCTTCAGATAAACTCTAGACAGAAGCATTCTCAGAAACTTCTTTGGGATGTTGCATTCAAGTCACAGAGTAGAACATTCCCATTCATAGAGCAGATTTGAAACACTCTTTTTGTAGTATCTGGAAGTGGACATTTGGAGCGCTTTCAGGCCTATGTTGAAAAAGGAAATATCTTCCCATAAAAACTAGACGGAAGCATTCTCAGAAACTTACTTGTGATGTGTTTGCTCAACTAACAGAATTGAACCATCGTTTTGAAGGAGCAGTTTTGAAACACTGTTTTCGTGGAATCTGCAAGTGGATATTTGGCTAGCTTTGAGGATTTCGTTGGAAACGGGATTACATATAAAAAGGAGACAGCAAGCATTCTCAGAAACTTCTTTGTGATGTCTAAATTCAAGTCACAGAGTTGAGCATTCCCTTTCATAGAGCAGGTTGGAAACACTCTTTTTGTAGTATCTGGATGAGGACATTTGGAGCGCTTTCAGGCCTATGGTGAAAAAGGAAATATCTTCCCGTAAAAACTAGACAGAAGCATTCTCAGAAGTTTATTTGTGATGTGTGCCCTCAACTAACAGAGTTGAACCTTTCTTTTGATAGAGCAGTTTTGAAACACTCTTTTTGTAAAATCTGCAAGAGGATATTTGGATAGCTTTGAGGATTTCGTTGCAAACGGGAATGGCTTCATATAAACTCTAGACAGAAGCATTCTCAGAAACTTCGTTGGGATGTTTCGATTGAAGTCCCAGTGTTGAACATTCCCTTTTATAGAGCAGGTTGGAAACACTCTTTCTGCATTCCCTGGAAGTGGACATTTGGAGCGCTTTCAGGACGACGGTGAAAATGGAAATATCTTCCAAGAAAATCTAGATAGAAGCAACGTCAGAAACTTTTCTGTGATGGATCTACTCAGCTAACAGAGTTGAACCTTTCTTTTGAGAGAGCAGTTTTGCAACACTCTTTTTGTGGAATATGCAAGTGGATATTAGGGCAGCTTTGAGGATTTCGTTGGAAACGGGAATACATGTAAAAAGCAGACAGCAGCATTCTCAGAAACTTCTTTGTGATGTTTGCATTGAAGTCACAGAGTTGAACATTCCCTTTGAGAGAGCAGGTTTGAAACACGCCTTTTGTCATATCTGGAAGTGTCCATTCGGAGCGCATTCAGGCTTGTGTTGAAAAAGAAAATATCCTCCCATAAAAACTAGACAGAAGCATTCTCAGAAACTTATTTGTGATGTATGTACTCAACTAACAGAACTAAACCATCGTTTTGACGGAGCAGTTTTGAAACACTCTTTTTGCGGAATCTGCAAGTGGATATTTGGCTAGCTGGGAGGATTTCGTTGGAAACGGGATTACATACAAAAAGCAGAGAGCAGCATTCTCAGAAACTTCTTTGTGATGTTTGCATTCAAGTCACAGAGTTGAACATTCCCTTTCATAGAGCAGGTTTGAAACACTCTTTTTGTAGTATCTGGATGTGGACATTTGGATCGCTTTCAGGCCTATGGTGAAAAAGGAAATATCTTCCCATGAAAACTAGACAGAAGCATTCTCAGAAACTTATTTGTGATGTGTGCCCTCAACTGACAGTGTTGAACCTTTGTTTTGATAGAGCAGTTCTGAAACACACTTTTTGTAAAATCTGCAAGAGGATATTTGGATAGCTTTGAGGATTTCGTTGGAAACGGGAATGTCTTCATGTAAACTCTAGACAGAAGCATTCTCAGAAACTGCTTTGGGATGTTTCAATTGAAGTCCCAGTGTTGAACATTCCCTTTCATAGAGCAGGTTTGAAACACTCTTTTTGTACTATCTGGAAGTGGACATTTGGAGCGCTTTCAGGTCTACGGTGAAAAAGCAGATATCTTCCAATAAAAACTAGATAGAAGCAATGTCAGAACTTTTTTCATGATGTATCTACTCAGCAAACAGAGTTGAACCTTTCTTTTGAGAGAGCAGTTTTGAAACACTCCTTTTGTGGAATATGCAAGTGGGTATTAGGCCAGCTTGGAGGATTTCGTTGGAAACGGGAATACGTATAAAAAGCAGACAGCAGCATTGTCAGAAACTACTTTGTGATGTTTGCATTCAAGTCACAGAATTGAACACTCCCTTTCACAGAGCAGGTTTGAAACACTCTTTTTGTAGTGTCTGTAAGTGAACATTTGGATTGATTTCAGGCCTGAGGTGAAAAAGGAAATATCTTCCCATAAAAACTAGACAGAAGCATTCTCAGAAACTTGTTTGTGATGTGTGCCCTCTACTGACAGAGTTGAACCTTTCTTTGCAAAGAGCAGTTTTGAAACACTCTTTTTGTAGAATCTGCAAGAGGATATTTGGATAGCTTTGAGGATTTCTTGGGAAACGGGAATGTCTTCAGATAAACTCTAGACAGAAGCATTCTCAGAAACTTCTTTGGGATGTTTCAATTGAAGTCACAGTGTTGAACATTCCCTTTCACAGAGCAGGTTTGAAACACTCTTTTTGTAGTGTCTATAAGTGAACATTTGGCGTGCTTTCAGGCCTAACGTGAAAAAGGAAATATCTTCCCATAAAAACTAGACAGAAGCATTCTCAGAAACTTGTTCGTGATGTGTGCCCTCTACTGACAGAGTTGAACCTTTCTTTGCAAAGAGCAGCTTTGAAACACTCTTTTTGTAGAATCTGCAAGAGGATATTTGGATAGCTTTGAGGATTTCGTTGGAAACGGGTATGTCTTCAGATAAACTCTAGATAGAAGCATTCTCAGAAACTTCTTTGGGATGTTGCATTCAAGTCACAGAGTAGAACATTCCCATTCATAGAGCAGATTTGAAACACTCTTTTTGTAGTATCTGGAAGTGGACATTTGGAGCGCTTTCAGGCCTATGTTGAAAAAGGAAATATCTTCCCATAAAAACTAGACGGAAGCATTCTCAGAAACTTATTTGTGATGTGTTTGCTCAACTAACAGGATTGAACCATCGTTTTGAAGGAGCAGTTTTGAAACACTGTTTTCGTGGAATCTGCAAGTGGATATTTGGCTAGCTTTGAGGATTTCGTTGGAAACGGGATTACATATAAAAAGGAGACAGCAGCATTCTCAGAAACTTCTTTGTGATGTTTGCATTCAATTCACAGAGTTGAGCATTCCCTTTCATAGAGCAGGTTGGAAACACTCTTTTTGTAGTATCTGGATGTGGACATTTGGATCGCTTTCAGGCCTATGGTGAAAAAGGAAATATCTTCCCATGAAAACTAGACAGAAGCATTCTCAGAAACTTATTTGTGATGTGTGCCCTCAACTGACAGTGTTGAACCTTTGTTTTGATAGAGCAGTTCTGAAACACACTTTTTGTAAAATCTGCAAGAGGATATTTGGATAGCTTTGAGGATTTCGTTGGAAACGGGAATGTCTTCATGTAAACTCTAGACAGAAGCATTCTCAGAAACTGCTTTGGGATGTTTCAATTGAAGTCCCAGTGTTGAACATTCCCTTTCATAGAGCAGGTTTGAAACACTCTTTTTGTACTATCTGGAAGTGGACATTTGGAGCGCTTTCAGGTCTACGGTGAAAAAGGAGATATCTTCCAATAAAAACTAGATAGAAGCAATGTCAGAACTTTTTTCGTGATGTATCTACTCAGCAAACAGAGTTGAACATTTCTTTTGAGAGAGCAGTTTTGAAACACTCTTTTTGTGGAATATGCAAGTGGGTATTAGGCCAGCTTGGAGGATTTCGTTGGAAACGGGAATACGTATAAAAAGCAGACAGCAGCATTGTCAGAAACTACTTTGTGATGTTTGCATTCAAGTCACAGAATTGAACACTCCCTTTCACAGAGCAGGTTTGAAACACTCTTTTTGTAGTGTCTGTAAGTGAACATTTGGATTGCTTTCAGGCCTAAGGTGAAAAAGGAAATATCTTCCCATAAAAACTAGACAGAAGCATTCTCAGAAACTTGTTTGTGATGTGTGCCCTCTACTGACAGAGTTGAACCTTTCTTTGCAAAGAGCAGCTTTGAAACACTCTTTTTGTAGAATCTGCAAGAGGATATTTGGATAGCTTTGAGGATTTCTTGGGAAACGGGAATGTCTTCAGATAAACTCTAGACAGAAGCATTCTCAGAAACTTCTTTGGGATGTTTCAATTGAAGTCACAGTGTTGAACATTCCCTTTCACAGAGCAGGTTTGAAACACTCTTTTTGTAGTGTCTATAAGTGAACATTTGGCGTGCTTTCAGGCGTAACGTGAAAAAGGAAATATCTTCCCATAAAAACCAGACAGAAGCATTCTCAGAAACTTGTTCATGATGTGTGCCCTCTACTGACAGAGTTGAACCTTTCTTTGCAAAGAGCAGCTTTGAAACACTCTTTTTGTAGAATCTGCAAGAGGATATTTGGATAGCTTGGAGGATTTCGTTGGAAACGGGTATGTCTTCAGATAAACTCTAGACAGAAACATTCTCAGAAACTTCTTTGGGATGTTGCATTCAAGTCACAGAGTAGAACATTCCCATGCATAGAGCAGATTTGAAACACTCTTTTTGTAGTATCTGGAAGTGGACATTTGGAGCGCTTTCAGGCCTATGTTGAAAAAGGAAATATCTTCCCATAAAAACTAGACGGGAAGCATTCTCAGAAACTTACTTGTGATGTGTTTGCTCAACTAACAGGATTGAACCATCGTTTTGAAGGAGCAGTTTTGAAACACAGTTTTCGTGGAATCTGCAAGTGGATATTTGGCTAGCTTTGAGGATTTCGTTGGAAACGGGATTACATATAAAAAGGAGACAGCAGCATTCTCAGAAACTTCTTTGTGATGTTTGCATTCAAGTCACAGAGTTGAACATTCCCTTTCATAGAGCAGGTTTGAAACACTCTTTTTGTAGTATCTGGATGTGGACATTTGGATCGCTTTCAGGCCTATGGTGAAAAAGGAAATATCTTCCCATGAAAACTAGACAGAAGCATTCTCAGAAACTTATTTGCGATGTGTGCCCTCAACTGACAGTGTTGAACCTTTGTTTTGATAGAGCAGTTCTGAAACACACTTTTTGTAAAATCTGCAAGAGGATATTTGGATAGCTTTGAGGATTTCGTTGGAAACGGGAATGTCTTCATGTAAACTCTGGACAGAAGCATTCTCAGAAACTGCTTTGGGATGTTTCAATTGAAGTCCCAGTGTTGAACATTCCCATTCATAGAGCAGGTTTGAAACACTCTTTTTGTACTATCTGGAAGTGGACATTTGGAGCGCTTTCAGGTCTACGGTGAAAAAGGAGATATCTTCCAATAAAAACTAGATAGAAGCAATGTCAGAACTTTTTTCATGATGTATCTACTCAGCACACAGAGTTGAACCTTTCTTTTGAGAGAGCAGTTTTGAAACACTCTTTTTGTGGAATATGCAAGTGGGTATTAGGCCAGCTTGGAGGATTTCGTTGGAAACGGGAATACGTATAAAAAGCAGACAGCAGCATTGTCAGAAACTACTTTGTGATGTTTGCATTCAAGTCACAGAATTGAACACTCCCTTTCACAGAGCAGGTTTGAAACACTCTTTTTGTAGTGTCTGTAAGTGAACATATGGATTGCTTTCAGGCCTAAGGTGAAAAAGGAAATATCTTCCCATAAAAACTAGACAGAAGCATTCTCAGAAACTTGTTTGTGATGTGTGCCCTCTACTGACAGAGTTGAACCTTTCTTTGCAAAGAGCAGTTTTGAAACACTCTTTTTGTAGAATCTGCAAGAGGATATTTGGATAGCTTTGAAGATTTCTTGGGAAACGGGAATGTCTTCAGATAAACTCTAGACAGAAGCATTCTCAGAAACTTCTTTGGGATGTTTCAATTGAAGTCACAGTGTTGAACATTCCCTTTCACAGAGCAGGTTTGAAACACTCTTTTTGTAGTGTGTATAAGTGAACATTTCGCGTGCGTTCAGGCCTAACGTGAAAAAGGAAATATCTTCCCATAAAAACTAGACAGAAGCATTCTCAGAAACTTGTTCATGATGTGTGCCCTCTACTGACAGAGTTGAACCTTTCTTTGCAAAGAGCAGCTTTGAAACATTCTTTTTGTAGAATCTGCAAGAGGATATTTGGATAGCTTTGAGGATTTCGTTGGAAACGGGTATGTCTTCAGATAAACTCTAGACAGAAGCATTCTCAGAAACTTCTTTGGGATGTTGCATTCAAGTCACAGAGTAGAACATTCCCATTCATAGAGCAGATTTGAAACACTCTTTTTGTAGTATCTGGAAGTGGACATTTGGAGCGCTTTCAGGCCTATGTTGAAAAAGGAAATATCTTCCCATAAAAACTAGACGGAAGCATTCTCAGAAACTTACTTGTGATGTGTTTGCTCAACTAACAGAATTGAACCATCGTTTTAAAGGAGCAGTTTTGAAACACTGTTTTCGTGGAATCTGCAAGTGGATATTTGGCTAGCTTTGAGGATTTCGTTGGAAACGGGATTACATATAAAAAGGAGACAGCAGCATTCTCAGAAACTTCTTTGTGATGTCTGCATTCAATTCACAGAGTTGAGCATTCCCTTTCATAGAGCAGGTTGGAAACACTCTTTTTGTAGTATCTGGATGAGGACATTTGGAGCGCTTTCAGGCGTATGGTGAAAAAGGAAATATCTTCCCGTAAAAACTAGACAGAAGCATTCTCAGAAATTTATTTGTGATGTGTGCCCTCAACTAACAGAGTTGAACCTTTCTTTTGATAGAGCAGTTTTGAAACACTCTTTTTGTAAAATCTGCAAGAGGATATTTGGATAGCTTTGAGGATTTCGTTGCAAACGGGAATGGCTTCATATAAACTCTAGACAGAAGCATTCTCAGAAACTTCGTTGGGATGTTTCGATTGAAGTCCCAGTGTTGAACATTCCCTTTTATAGAGCAGGTTGGAAACACTCTTTCTGCATTCCCTGGAAGTGGACATTTGGAGCGCTTTCAGGACGACGGTGAAAATGGAAATATCTTCCAAGAAAATCTAGATAGAAGCAATGTCAGAAACTTTTATGTGATGGATCTACTCAGCTAACAGAGTTGAACCTTTCTTTTGAGAGAGCAGTTTTGCAACACTCTTTTTGTGGAATATGCAAGTGGATATTAGGGCAGCTTTGAGGATTTCGTTGGAAACGGGAATACATGTAAAAAGCAGACAGCAGCATTCTCAGAAACTTCTTTGTGATGTTTGCATTGAAGTCACAGAGTTGAACATTCCCTTTGAGAGAGCAGGTTTGAAACACGCCTTTTGTCATATCTGGAAGTGTCCATTCGGAGCACATTCAGGCTTGTGTTGAAAAAGGAAATATCCTCCCATAAAAACTAGACAGAAGCATTCTCAGAAACTTATCTGTGATGTATGTACTCAACTAACAGAACTAAACCATCGTTTTGAAGGAGCAGTTTCGAAACACTCTTTTTGCGGAATCTGCAAGTGGATATTTGGCTAGCTGGGAGGATTTCGTTGGAAACGGGATTACATACAAAAAGCAGACAGCAGCATTCTCAGAAACTTCTTTGTGATGTTTGCATTCAAGTCACAGAGTTGAACATTCCCTTTCATAGAGCAGGTTTGAAACACTCTTTTTGTAGTATCTGGATGTGGACATTTGGATCGCTTTCAGGCCTATGGTGAAAAAGGAAATATCTTCCCATGAAAACTAGACAGAAGCATTCTCAGAAACTTATTTGTGATGTGTGCCCTCAACTGACAGTGTTGAACCTTTGTTTTGATAGAGCAGTTCTGAAACACACTTTTTGTAAAATCTGCAAGAGGATATTTGGATAGCTTTGAGGATTTCGTTGGAAACGGGAATGTCTTCATGTAAACTCTAGACAGAAGCATTCTCAGAAACTGCTTTGGGATGTTTCAATTGAAGTCCCAGTGTTGAACATTCCCTTTCATAGAGCAGGTTTGAAACACTCTTTTTGTACTATCTGGAAGTGGACATTTGGAGCGCTTTCAGGTCTACGGTGAAAAAGGAGATATCTTCCAATAAAAACTAGATAGAAGCAATGTCAGAACTTTTTTCATGATGTATCTACTCAGCAAACAGGGTTGAACCTTTCTTTTGAGAGAGCAGTTTTGAAACACTCTTTTTGTGGAATATGCAAGTGGGTATGAGGCCAGCTTGGAGGATTTCGTTGGAAACGGGAATACGTATAAAAAGCAGACAGCAGCATTGTCAGAAACTACTTTGTGATGTTTGCATTCAAGTCACAGAATTGAACACTCCCTTTCACAGAGCAGGTTTGAAACACTCTTTTTGTAGTGTCTGTAAGTGAACATTTGGATTGCTTTCAGGCCTAAGGTGAAAAAGGAAATATCTTCCCATAAAAACTAGACAGAAGCATTCTCAGAAACTTGTTTGTGATGTGTGCCCTCTACTGACAGAGTTGAACCTTTCTTTGCAAAGAGCAGTTTTGAAACACTCTTTTTGTAGAATCTGCAAGAGGATATTTGGATAGCTTTGAGGATTTCTTGGGAAACGGGAATGTCTTCAGATAAACTCTAGACAGAAGCATTCTCAGAAACTTCTTTGGGATGTTTCAATTGAAGTCACAGTTTTGAACATTCCCTTTCACAGAGCAGGTTTGAAACACTCTCTTTGTAGTGTCTATAAGTGAACATTTGGCGTGCTTTCAGGCCTAACGTGAAAAAGGAAATATCTTCCCATAAAAACTAGACAGAAGCATTCTCAGAAACTTGTTCGTGATGTGTGCCCTCTACAGACAGAGTTGAACCTTTCTTTGCAAAGAGCAGCTTTGAAACACACTTTTTGTAGAATCTGCAAGAGGATATTTGGATAGCTTTGAGGATTTCGTTGGAAACGGGTATGTCTTCAGATAAACTCTAGACAGAAGCATTCTCAGAAACTTCTTTGGGATGTTGCATTCAAGTCACAGAGTAGAACATTCCCATTCATAGAGCAGATTTGAAACACTCTTTTTGTAGTATCTGGAAGTGGACATTTGGAGCGCTTTCAGGCCTATGTTGAAAAAGGAAATATCTTCCCATAAAAACTAGACGGAAGCATTCTCAGAAACTTATTTGTGATGTGTTTGCTCAACTAACAGGATTGAACCATCGTTTTGAAGGAGCAGTTTTGAAACACTGTTTTCGTGGAATCTGCAAGTGGATATTTGGCTAGCTTTGAGGATTTCGTTGGAAACGGGATTACATATAAAAAGGAGACAGCAGCATTCTCAGAAACTTCTTTGTGATGTCTGCATTCAATTCACAGAGTTGAGCATTCCCTTTCATAGAGCAGGTTGGAAACACTCTTTTTGTAGTATCTGGATGAGGACATTTGGAGCGCTTTCAGGCCTATGGTGAAAAAGGAAATATCTTCCCGTAAAAACTAGACAGAAGCATTCTCAGAAGTTTATTTCTGATGTGTGCCCTCAACTAACAGAGTTGAACCTTTCTTTTGATAGAGCAGTTTTGAAACACTCTTTTTGTAAAATCTGCAAGAGGATATTTGGATAGCTTTGAGGATTTCGTTGCAAACGGGAATGGCTTCATATAAACTCTAGACAGAAGCATTCTCAGAAACTTCGTTGGGATGTTTCGATTGAAGTCCCAGTGTTGAACATTCCCTTTTATAGAGCAGGTTGGAAACACTCTTTCTGCATTCCCTGGAAGTGGACATTTGGAGCGCTTTCAGGACGACGGTGAAAATGGAAATATCTTCCAAGAAAATCTAGATAGAAGCAATGTCAGAAACTTTTATGTGATGGATCTACTCAGCTAACAGAGTTGAACCTTTCTTTTGAGAGAGCAGTTTTGCAACACTCTTTTTGTGGAATATGCAAGTGGATATTAGGGCAGCTTTGAGGATTTCGTTGGAAACGGGAATACATGTAAAAAGCAGACAGCAGCATTCTCAGAAACTTCTTTGTGATGTTTGCATTGAAGTCACAGAGTTGAACATTCCCTTTGAGAGAGCAGGTTTGAAACACGCCTTTTGTCATATCTGGAAGTGTCCATTCGGAGCGCATTCAGGCTTGTGTTGAAAAAGGAAATATCCTCCCATAAAAACTAGACAGAAGCATTCTCAGAAACTTATCTGTGATGTATGTACTCAACTAACAGAACTAAACCATCGTTTTGAAGGAGCAGTTTTGAAACACTCTTTTTGCGGAATCTGCAAGTGGATATTTGGCTAGCTGGGAGGATTTCGTTGGAAACGGGATTACATACAAAAAGCAGACAGCAGCATTCTCAGAAACTTCTTTGTGATGTTTGCATTCAAGTCACAGAGTTGAACATTCCCTTTCATAGAGCAGGTTTGAAACACTCTTTTTGTAGTATCTGGATGTGGACATTTGGATCGCTTTCAGGCCTATGGTGAAAAAGGAAATATCTTCCCATGAAAACTAGACAGAAGCATTCTCAGAAACTTATTTGTGATGTGTGCCCTCAACTGACAGTGTTGAACCTTTGTTTTGATAGAGCAGTTCTGAAACACACTTTTTGTAAAATCTGCAAGAGGATATTTGGATAGCTTTGAGGATTTCGTTGGAAACGGGAATGTCTTCATGTAAACTCTAGACAGAAGCATTCTCAGAAACTGCTTTGGGATGTTTCAATTGAAGTCCCAGTGTTGAACATTCCCTTTCATAGGAGCAGGTTTGAAACACTCTTTTTGTACTATCTGGAAGTGGACATTTGGAGCGCTTTCAGGTCTACGGTGAAAAAGGAGATATCTTCCAATAAAAACTAGATAGAAGCAATGTCAGAACTTTTTTCATGATGTATCTACTCAGCAAACAGAGTTGAACCTTTCTTTTGAGAGAGCAGTTTTGAAACACTCTTTTTGTGGAATATGCAAGTGGGTATTAGGCCAGCTTGGAGGATTTCGTTGGAAACGGGAATACGTATAAAAAGCAGACAGCAGCATTGTCAGAAACTACTTTGTGATGTTTGCATTCAAGTCACAGAATTGAACACTCCCTTTCACAGAGCAGGTTTGAAACACTCTTTTTGTAGTGTCTGTAAGTGAACATTTGGATTGCTTTCAGGCCTAAGGTGAAAAAGGAAATATCTTCCCATAAAAATTAGACAGAAGCATTCTCAGAAACTTGTTTGTGATGTGTGCCCTCTACTGACAGAGTTGAACCTTTCTTTGCAAAGAGCAGTTTTGAAACACTCTTTTTGTAGAATCTGCAAGAGGATATTTGGATAGCTTTGAGGATTTCTTGGGAAACGGGAATGTCTTCAGATAAACTCTAGACAGAAGCATTCTCAGAAACTTCTTTGGGATGTTTCAATTGAAGTCACAGTGTTGAACATTCCCTTTCGCAGAGCAGGTTTGAAACACTCTTTTTGTAGTGTCTATAAGTGAACATTTGGCGTGCTTTCAGGCCTAACGTGAAAAAGGAAATATCTTCCCATAAAAACTAGACAGAAGCATTCTCAGAAACTTGTTCTTGATGTGTCCCCTCTACTGACAGAGTTGAACCTTTCTTTGCAAAGAGCAGCTTTGAAACACTCTTTTTGTAGAATCTGCAAGAGGATATTTGGATAGCTTGGAGGATTTCGTTGGAAACGGGTATGTCTTCAGATAAACTCTAGACAGAAGCATTCTCAGAAACTTCTTTGGGATGTTGCATGCAAGTCACAGAGTAGAACATTCCCATTCATAGAGCAGATTTGAAACACTCTTTTTGTAGTATTTGGAAGTGGACATTTGGAGCGCTTTCAGGCCTATGTTGAAAAAGGAAATATCTTCCCATAAAAACTAGACGGAAGCATTCTCAGAAACTTATTTGTGATGTGTTTGCTCAACTAACAGGATTGAACCATCGTTTTGAAGGAGCAGTTTTGAAACACTGTTTTCGTGGAATCTGCAAGTGGATATTTGGCTAGCTTTGAGGATTTCGTTGGAAACGGGATTACATATAAAAAGGAGACAGCAGCATTCTCAGAAACTTCTTTGTGATGTCTGCATTCAATTCACAGAGTTGAGCATTCCTTTTCATAGAGCAGGTTGGAAACACTCTTTTTGTAGTATCTGGATGAGGACTTTTGGAGCGCTTTCAGGCGTATGGTGAAAAAGGAAATATCTTCCCGTAAAAACTAGACAGAAGCATTCTCAGAAATTTATTTGTGATGTGTGCCCTCAACTAACAGAGTTGAACCTTTCTTTTGATAGAGCAGTTTTGAAACACTCTTTTTGTAAAATCTGCAAGAGGATATTTGGATAGCTTTGAGGATTTCGTTGCAAACGGGAATGGCTTCATATAAACTCTAGACAGAAAGCATTCTCAGAAACTTCGTCGGGATGTTTCGATTGAAGTCCCAGTGTTGAACATTCCCTTTTATAGAGCAGGTTGGAAACACTCTTTCTGCATTCCCTGGAAGTGGACAATTGGAGCGCTTTCAGGACGACGGTGAAAATGGAAATATCTTCCAATAAAATCTGGATAGAGCAACGTCAGAAACTTTTCTGTGATGGATCTACTCAGCTAACAGAGTTGAACCTTTCTTTTGAGAGAGCAGTTTTGCAACACTCTTTTTGTGGAATATGCAAGTGGATATTAGGGCAGCTTTGAGGATTTCGTTGGAAACGGGAATACATGTAAAAAGCAGACAGCAGCATTCTCAGAAACTTCTTTGTGATGTTTGCATTGAAGTCACAGAGTTGAACATTCCCTTTGAGAGAGCAGGTTTGAAACACGCCTTTTGTCATATCTGGAAGTGTCCATTCGGAGCGCATTCAGGCTTGTGTTGAAAAAGGAAATATCCTCCCATAAAAACTAGACAGAAGCATTCTCAGAAACTTATCTGTGATGTATGTACTCAACTAACAGAACTAAACCATCGTTTTGAAGGAGCAGTTTTGAAACACTCTTTTTGCGGAATCTGCAAGTGGATATTTGGCTAGCTGGGAGGATTTCGTTGGAAACGGGATTACATACAAAAAGCAGACAGCAGCATTCTCAGAAACTTCTTTGTGATGTTTGCATTCAAGTCACAGAGTTGAACATTCCCTTTCATAGAGCAGGTTTGAAACACTCTTTTTGTAGTATCTGGATGTGGACATTTGGATCGCTTTCAGGCCTATGGTGAAAAAGGAAATATCTTCCCATGAAAACTAGACAGAAGCATTCTCAGAAACTTATTTGTGATGTGTGCCCTCAACTGACAGTGTTGAACCTTTGTTTTGATAGAGCAGTTCTGAAACACACTTTTTGTAAAATCTGCAAGAGGATATTTGGATAGCTTTGAGGATTTCGTTGGAAACGGGAATGTCTTCATGTAAACTCTACACAGAAGCATTCTCAGAAACTGCTTTGGGACGTTTCAATTGAAGTCCCAGTGTTGAACATTCCCATTCATAGAGCAGGTTTGAAACACTCTTTTTGTACTATCTGGAAGTGGACATTTGGAGCGCTTTCAGGTCTACGGTGAAAAAGGAGATATCTTCCAATAAAAACTAGATAGAAGCAATGTCAGAACTTTTTTCATGATGTATCTACTCAGCAAACAGAGTTGAACCTTTCTTTTGAGGGAGCAGTTTTGAAACACTATTTTTGTGGAATATGCAAGTGGGTATTAGGCCAGCTTGGAGGATTTCGTTGGAAACGGGAATACGTATAAAAAGCAGACAGCAGCATTGTCAGAAACTACTTTGTGATGTTTGCATGCAAGTCACAGAATGGAACACTGCCTTTCACAGAGCAGGTTTGAAACACTCTTTTTGTAGTGTCTGTAAGTGAACATTTGGATTGCTTTCAGGCCTAAGGTGAAAAAGGAAATATCTTCCCATAAAAACTAGACAGAAGCATTCTCAGAAACTTGTTTGTGATGTGTGCCCTCTACTGACAGAGTTGAACCTTTCTTTGCAAAGAGCAGCTTTGAAACACTCTTTTTGTAGAATCTGCAAGAGGATATTTGGATAGCTTTGAGGATTTCTTGGGAAACGGGAATGTCTTCAGATAAACTCTAGACAGAAGCATTCTCAGAAACTTCTTTGGGATGTTGCATTCAAGTCACAGAGTAGAACATTCCCATTCATAGAGCAGATTTGAAACACTCTTTTTGTAGTATCTGGAAGTGGACATTTGGAGCGCTTTCAGGCCTATGTTGAAAAAGGAAATATCTTCCCATAAAAACTAGACGGAAGCATTCTCAGAAACTTATTTGTGATGTGTTTGCTCAACTAACAGGATTGAACCATCGTTTTGAAGGAGCAGTTTTGAAACACTGTTTTCGTGGAATCTGCAAGTGGATATTTGGCTAGCTTTGAGGATTTCGTTGGAAACGGGATTACATATAAAAAGGAGACAGCAGCATTCTCAGAAACTTCTTTGTGATGTTTGCATTCAATTCACAGAGTTGAGCATTCCCTTTCATAGAGCAGGTTGGAAACACTCTTTTTGTAGTATCTGGATGTGGACATTTGGATCGCTTTCAGGCCTATGGTGAAAAAGGAAATATCTTCCCATGAAAACTAGACAGAAGCATTCTCAGAAACTTATTTGTGATGTGTGCCCTCAACTGACAGTGTTGAACCTTTGTTTTGATAGAGCAGTTCTGAAACACACTTTTTGTAAAATCTGCAAGAGGATATTTGGATAGCTTGGAGGATTTCGTTGGAAACGGGAATGTCTTCATGTAAATTCTACACAGAAGCATTCTCAGAAACTGCTTTGGGATGTTTCAATTGAAGTCCCAGTGTTGAACATTCCCATTCATAGAGCAGGTTTGAAACACTCTTTTTGTACTATCTGGAAGTGGACATTTGGAGCGCTTTCAGGTCTACGGTGAAAAAGGAGATATGTTCCAATAAAAACTAGATAGAAGCAATGTCAGAACATTTTTCATGATGTATCTACTCAGCAAACAGAGTTGAACCTTTCTTTTGAGAGAGCAGTTTTGACACAGTCTTTGTGGAATATGCAAGTGGGTATTAGGCCAGCTTGGAGGATTTCGTTGGAAACGGGAATACGTATAAAAAGCAGACAGCAGCATTGTCAGAAACTACTTTGTGATGTTTGCATTCAAGTCACAGAATTGAACACTCCCTTTCACAGAGCAGGTTTGAAACACTCTTTTTGTAGTGTCTGTAAGTGAACATTTGGATTGCTTTCAGGCCTATGGTGAAAAAGGAAATATCTTCCCATAAAAACTAGACAGAAGCATTCTCAGAAACTTGTTTGTGATATGTGCCCTCTACTGACAGAGTTGAACCTTTCTTTGCAAAGAGCAGTTTTGAAACACTCTTTTTGTAGAATCTGCAAGAGGATATTTGGATAGCTTTGAGGATTTCTTGGGAAACGGGAATGTCTTCAGATAAACTCTAGACAGAAGCATTCTCAGAAACTTCTTTGGGATGTTTCAATTGAAGTCACAGTGTTGAACATTCCCTTTCACAGAGCAGGTTTGAAACACTCTTTTTGTAGTGTCTATAAGTGAACATTTGGCGTGCTTTCAGGCCTAACGTGAAAAAGGAAATATCTTCCCATAAAAACTAGACAGAAGCATTCTCAGAAACTTGTTTGTGATGTGTGCCCTCTACTGACAGAGTTGAACCTTTCTTTGCAAAGAGCAGCTTTGAAACACTCTTTTTGTAGAATCTGCAAGAGGATATGTGGATAGCTTTGAGGATTTCGTTGGAAACGGGTATGTCTTCAGATAAACTCTAGACAGAAGCATTCTCAGAAACTTCTTTGGGATGTTGCATTCAAGTCACAGAGTAGAACATTCCCATTCATAGAGCAGATTTGAAACACTCTTTTTGTAGTATCTGGAAGTGGACATTTGGAGCGCTTTCAGGCCTATGTTGAAAAAGGAAATATCTTCCCATAAAAACTAGACGGAAGCATTCTCAGAAACTTATTTGTGATGTGTTTGCTCAACTAACAGGATTGAACCATCGTTTTGAAGGAGCAGTTTTGAAACACTGTTTTCGTGGAATCTGCAAGTGGATATTTGGCTAGCTTTGAGGATTTCGTTGGAAACGGGATTACATATACAAAGGAGACAGCAGCATTCTCAGAAACTTCTTTGTGATGTCTGCATTCAATTCACAGAGTTGAGCATTCCCTTTCATAGAGCAGGTTGGAAACACTCTTTTTGTAGTATCTGGATGAGGACATTTGGAGCGCTTCAGGCGTATGGTGAAAAAGGAAATATCTTCCCGTAAAAACTAGACAGAAGCATTCTCAGAATTTTATTTGTGATGTATGCCCTCAACTAACAGAGTTGAACCTTTCTTTTGATAGAGCAGTTTTGAAACACTCTTTTTGTAAAATCTGCAAGAGGATATTTGGATAGCTTTGAGGATTTCGTTGCAAACGGGAATGGCTTCATATAAACTCTAGACAGAAGCATTCTCAGAAACTTCGTTGGGATGTTTCGATTGAAGTCCCAGTGTTGAACATTCCCTTTTATAGAGCAGGTTGGAAACACTCTTTCTGCATTCCCTGGAAGTGGACATTTGGAGCGCTTTCAGGACGACGGTGAAAATGGAAATATCTTCCAAGAAAATCTAGATAGAAGCAACGTCAGAAACTTTTCTGTGATGGATCTACTCAGCTAACAGAGTTGAACCTTTCTTTTGAGAGAGCAGTTTTGCAACACTCTTTTTGTGGAATATGCAAGTGGATATTAGGGCAGCCTTGAGGATTTCGTTGGAAACGGGAATACATGTAAAAAGCAGACAGCAGCATTCTCAGAAACTTCTTTGTGATGTTTGCATTGAAGTCACAGAGTTGAACATTCCCTTTGAGAGAGCAGGTTTGAAACACGCCTTTTGTCATATCTGGAAGTGTCCATTCGGAGCGCATTCAGGCTTGTGTTGAAAAAGGAAATATCCTCCCATAAAAACTAGACAGAAGCATTCTCAGAAACTTATCTGTGATGTATGTACTCAACTAACAGAACTAAACCATCGTTTTGAAGGAGCAGTTTTGAAACACTCTTTTTGCGGAATCTGCAAGTGGATATTTGGCTAGCTGGGAGGATTTCGTTGGAAACGGGATTACATACAAAAAGCAGACAGCAGCATTCTCAGAAACTTCTTTGTGATGTTTCCATTCAAGTCACAGAGTTGAACATTCCCTTTCATAGAGCAGGTTTGAAACACTCTTTTTGTAGTATCTGGATGTGGACATTTGGATCGGCTTTCAGGCCTATGGTGAAAAAGGAAATATCTTCCCATGAAAACTAGACAGAAGGATTCTCAGAAATTTATTTGTGATGTGTGCCCTCAACTAACAGAGTTGAACCTTTCTTTTGATAGAGCAGTTTTGAAACACTCTTTTTGTAAAATCTGCAAGAGGATATTTGGATAGCTTGGAGGATTTCATTGCAAACGGGAATGGCTTCATATAAACTCTAGACAGAAGCATTCTCAGAAACTTCGTTGGGATGTTTCGATTGAAGTCCCAGTGTTCAACATTCCCTTTTATAGAGCAGGTTGGAAACACTCTTTCTGCATTCCCTGGAAGTGGACATTTGGAGCGCTTTCAGGACGACGGTGAAAATGGAAATATCTTCCAAGAAAATCTAGATAGAAAGCAACGTCAGAAACTTTTATGTGATGGATCTACTCAGCTAACAGAGTTGAACCTTTCTTTTGAGAGAGCAGTTTTGCAACACTCTTTTTGTGGAATATGCAAGTGGATATTAGGGCAGCTTTGAGGATTTCGTTGGAAACGGGAATACATGTAAAAAGCAGACAGCAGCATTCTCAGAAACTTCTTTGTGATGTTTGCATTGAAGTCACAGAGTTGAACATTCCCTTTGAGAGAGCAGGTTTGAAACACGCCTTTTGTCATATCTGGAAGTGTCCATTCGGAGCGCATTCAGGCTTGTGTTGAAAAAGGAAATATCCTCCCATAAAAACTAGACAGAAGCATTCTCAGAAACTTATCTGTGATGTATGTACTCAACTAACAGAACTAAACCATCGTTTTGAAGGAGCAGTTTTGAAACACTCTTTTTGCGGAATCTGCAAGTGGATATTTGGCTAGCTGGGAGGATTTCGTTGGAAACGGGATTACATACAAAAAGCAGACAGCAGCATTCTCAGAAACTTCTTTGTGATGTTTGCATTCAAGTCACAGAGTTGAACATTCCCTTTCATAGAGCAGGTTTGAAACACTCTTTTTGTAGTATCTGGATGTGGACATTTGGATCGCTTTCAGGCCTATGGTGAAAAAGGAAATATCTTCCCATGAAAACTAGACAGAAGCATTCTCAGAAACTTATTTGTGATGTGTGCCCTCAACTGACAGTGTTGAACCTTTGTTTTGATAGAGCAGTTCTGAAACACACTTTTTGTAAAATCTGCAAGAGGATATTTGGATAGATTTGAGGATTTCGTTGGAAACGGGAATGTCTTCATGTAAACTCTAGACAGAAGCATTCTCAGAAACTGCTTTGGGATGTTTCAATTGAAGTCCCAGTGTTGAACATTCCCATTCATAGAGCAGGTTTGAAACACTCTTTTTGTACTATCTGGAAGTGGACATTTGGAGCGCTTTCAGGTCCTACGGTGAAAAAGGAGATATCTTCCAATAAAAACTAGATAGAAGCAATGTCAGAACTTTTTTCATGATGTATCTACTCAGCAAACAGAGTTGAACCTTTCTTTTGAGGGAGCAGTTTTGAAACACTATTTTTGTGGAATATGCAAGTGGGTATTAGGCCAGCTTGGAGGATTTCGTTGGAAACGGGAATACGTATAAAAAGCAGACAGCAGCATTGTCAGAAACTACTTTGTGATGTTTGCATTCAAGTCACAGAATTGAACACTCCCTTTCACAGAGCAGGTTTGAAACACTCTTTTTGTAGTGTCTGTAAGTGAACATATGGATTGCTTTCAGGCCTAAGGTGAAAAAGGAAATATCTTCCCATAAAAACTAGACAGAAGCATTCTCAGAAACTTGTTTGTGATGTGTGCCCTCTACTGACAGAGTTGAACCTTTCTTTGCAAAGAGCAGTTTTGAAACACTCTTTTTGTAGAATCTGCAAGAGGATATTTGGATAGCTTTGAGGATTTCTTGGGAAACGGGAATGTCTTCAGATAAACTCTAGACAGAAGCATTCTCAGAAACTTCTTTGGGATATTTCAATTGAAGTCACAGTGTTGAACATTCCCTTTCACAGAGCAGGTTTGAAACACTCTTTTTGTAGTGTCTATAAGTGAACATTTGGCGTGCTTTCAGGCCTAACGTGAAAAAGGAAATATCTTCCCATAAAAACTAGACAGAAGCATTCTCAGAAACTTGTTCGTGATGTGTGCCCTCTACTGACAGAGTTGAACCTTTCTTTGCAAAGAGCAGCTTTGAAACACACTTTTTGTAGAATCTGCAAGAGGATATTTGGATAGCTTGGAGGATTTCGTTGGAAACGGGTATGTCTTCAGATAAACTCTAGACAGAAGCATTCTCAGAAACTTCTTTGGGATGTTGCATTCAAGTCACAGAGTAGAACATTCCCATTCATAGAGCAGATTTGAAACACTCTTTTTGTAGTATCTGGAAGTGGACATTTGGAGCGCTTTCAGGCCTATGTTGAAAAAGGAAATATCTTCCCATAAAAACTAGACGGAAGCATTCTCAGAAACTTATTTGTGATGTGTTTGCTCAACTAACAGGATTGAACCATCGTTTTGAAGGAGCAGTTTTGAAACACTGTTTTCGTGGAATCTGCAAGTGGATATTTGGCTAGCTTTGAGGATTTCGTTGGAAACGGGATTACATATAAAAAGGAGACAGCAGCATTCTCAGAAACTTCTTTGTGATGTCTGCATTCAATTCACAGAGTTGAGCATTCCCTTTCATAGAGCAGGTTGGAAACACTCTTTTTGTAGTATCTGGATGAGGACATTTGGAGTGCTTTCAGGCGTATGGTGAAAAAGGAAATATCTTCCCGTAAAAACTAGACAGAAGCATTCTCAGAAGTTTATTTGTGATGTGTGCCCTCAACTAACAGAGTTGAACCTTTCTTTTGATAGAGCAGTTTTGAAACACTCTTTTTGTAAAATCTGCAAGAGGATATTTGGATAGCTTTGAGGATTTCGTTGCAAACGGGAATGGCTTCATATAAACTCTAGACAGAAGCATTCTCAGAAACTTCGTTGGGATGTTTCGATTGAAGTCCCAGTGTTGAACATTCCCTTTTATAGAGCAGGTTGGAAACACTCTTTCTGCATTCCCTGGAAGTGGACATTTGGAGCGCTTTCAGGACGACGGTGAAAATGGAAATATCTTCCAAGAAAATCTAGATAGAAGCAACGTCAGAAACTTTTCTGTGATGGATCTACTCAGCTAACAGAGTTGAACCTTTCCTTTGAGAGAGCAGTTTTGCAACACTCTTTTTGTGGAATATGCAAGTGGATATTAGGGCAGCTTTGAGGATTTCGTTGGAAACGGGAATACATGTAAAAAGCAGACAGCCAGCATTCTCAGAAACTTCTTTGTGATGTTTGCATTGAAGTCACAGAGTTGAACATTCCCTTTGAGAGAGCAGGTTTGAAACACGCCTTTTGTCATATCTGGAAGTGTCCATTCGGAGCGCATTCAGGCTTGTGTTGAAAAAGGAAATATCCTCCCAGAAAAACTAGACAGAAGCATTCTCAGAAACTTATCTGTGATGTATGTACTCAACTAACAGAACTAAACCATCGTTTTGAAGGAGCAGTTTTGAAACACTCTTTTTGCGGAATCTGCAAGTGGATATTTGGCTAGCTGGGAGGATTTCCGTTGGAAACGGGATTACATACAAAAAGCAGACAGCAGCATTCTCAGAAACTTATTTGTGATGTGTGCCCTCAACTGACAGTGTTGAACCTTTGTTTTGATAGAGCAGTTCTGAAACACACTTTTTGTAAAATCTGCAAGAGGATATTTGGATAGCTTTGAGGATTTCGTTGGAAACGGGAATGTCTTCATGTAAACTCTGGACAGAAGCATTCTCAGAAACTGCTTTGGGATGTTTCAATTGAAGTCCCAGTGTTGAACATTCCCTTTCATAGAGCAGGTTTGAAACACTCTTTTTGTACTATCTGGAAGTGGACATTTGGAGCGCTTTCAGGTCTACGGTGAAAAAGGAGATATCTTCCAATAAAAACTAGATAGAAGCAATGTCAGAACTTTTTTCATGATGTATCTACTCAGCAAACAGAGTTGAACCTTTCTTTTGAGAGAGCAGTTTTGAAACACTCTTTTTGTGGAATATGCAAGTGGGTATTAGGCCAGCTTGGAGGATTTCGTTGGAAACGGGAATACGTATAAAAAGCAGACAGCAGCATTGTCAGAAACTACTTTGTGATGTTTGCATTCAAGTCACAGAATTGAACACTCCCTTTCACAGAGCAGGTTTGAAACACTCTTTTTGTAGTGTCTGTAAGTGAACATTTGGATTGCTTTCAGGCCTAAGGTGAAAAAGGAAATATCTTCCCATAAAAACTAGACAGAAGCATTCTCAGAAACTTGTTTGTGATGTGTGCCCTCTACTGACAGAGTTGAACCTTTCTTTGCAAAGAGCAGTTTTGAAACACTCTTTTTGTAGAATCTGCAAGAGGATATTTGGATAGCTTTGAGGATTTCTTGGGAAACGGGAATGTCTTCAGATAAACTCTAGACAGAAGCATTCTCAGAAACTTCTTTGGGATGTTTCAATTGAAGTCACAGTGTTGAACATTCCCTTTCACAGAGCAGGTTTGAAACACTCTTTTTGTAGTGTCTATAAGTGAACATTTGGCGTGCTTTCAGGCGTAACGTGAAAAAGGAAATATCTTCCCATAAAAACCAGACAGAAGCATTCTCAGAAACTTGTTCTTGATGTGTCCCCTCTACTGACAGAGTTGAACCTTTCTTTGCAAAGAGCAGCTTTGAAACACTCTTTTTGTAGAATCTGCAAGAGGATATTTGGATAGCTTGGAGGATTTCGTTGGAAACGGGTATGTCTTCAGATAAACTCTAGACAGAAGCATTCTCAGAAACTTCTTTGGGATGTTGCATTCAAGTCACAGAGTAGAACATTCCCATTCATAGAGCAGATTTGAAACACTCTTTTTGTAGTATCTGGAAGTGGACATTTGGAGCGCTTTCAGGCCTATGTTGAAAAAGGAAATATCTTCCCATAAAAACTAGACGGAAGCATTCTCAGAAACTTATTTGTGATGTGTTTGCTCAACTAACAGGATTGAACCATCGTTTTGAAGGAGCAGTTTTGAAACACTGTTTTCGTGGAATCTGCAAGTGGATATTTGGCTAGCTTTGAGGATTTCGTTGGAAACGGGATTACATATAAAAAGGAGACAGCAGCATTCTCAGAAACTTCTTTGTGATGTCTGCATTCAAGTCACAGAGTTGAGCATTCCCTTTCATAGAGCAGGTTGGAAACACTCTTTTTGTAGTATCTGGATGAGGACATTTGGAGCGCTTTCAGGCGTATGGTGAAAAAGGAAATATCTTCCCGTAAAAACTAGACAGAAGCATTCTCAGAAGTTTATTTGTGATGTGTGCCCTCAACTAACAGAGTTGAACCTTTCTTTTGATAGAGCAGTTTTGAAACACTCTTTTTGTAAAATCTGCAAGAGGATATTTGGATAGCTTTGAGGATTTCGTTGCAAACGGGAATGGCTTCATATAAACTCTAGACAGAAGCATTCTCAGAAACTTCGTTGGGATGTTTCGATTGAAGTCCCAGTGTTGAACATTCCCTTTTATAGAGCAGGTTGGAAACACTCTTTCTGCATTCCCTGGAAGTGGACATTTGGAGCGCTTTCAGGACGACGGTGAAAATGAAAATATCTTCCAAGAAAATCTAGATAGAAGCAACGTCAGAAACTTTTCTGTGATGGATCTACTCAGCTAACAGAGTTGAACCTTTCTTTTGAGAGAGCAGTTTTGCAACACTCTTTTTGTGGAATATGCAAGTGGATATTAGGGCAGCTTTGAGGATTTCGTTGGAAACGGGAATACATGTAAAAAGCAGACAGCAGCATTCTCAGAAACTTCTTTGTGATGTTTGCATTGAAGTCACAGAGTTGAACATTCCCTTTGAGAGAGCAGGTTTGAAACACGCCTTTTGTCATATCTGGAAGTGTCCATTCGGAGCGCATTCAGGCTTGTGTTGAAAAAGGAAATATCCTCCCAGAAAAACTAGACAGAAGCATTCTCAGAAACTTATCTGTGATGTATGTACTCAACTAACAGAACTAAACCATCGTTTTGAAGGAGCAGTTTTGAAACACTCTTTTTGCGGAATCTGCAAGTGGATATTTGGCTAGCTGGGAGGATTTCGTTGGAAACTGGATTACATACAAAAAGCAGACAGCAGCATTCTCAGAAACTTCTTTGTGATGTTTGCATTCAAGTCACAGAGTTGAACATTCCCTTTCATAGAGCAGGTTTGAAACACTCTTTTTGTAGTATCTGGATGTGGACATTTGGATCGCTTTCAGGCCTATGGTGAAAAAGGAAATATCTTCCCATGAAAACTAGACAGAAGCATTCTCAGAAACTTATTTGTGATGTGTGCCCTCAACTGACAGTGTTGAACCTTTGTTTTGATAGAGCAGTTCTGAAACACACTTTTTGTAAAATCTGCAAGAGGATATTTGGATAGCTTTGAGGATTTCGTTGAAACGGGAATGTCTTCATGTAAACTCTAGACAGAAGCATTCTCAGAAACTGCTTTGGGATGTTTCAATTGAAGTCCCAGTGTTGAACATTCCCTTTCATAGAGCAGGTTTGAAACACTCTTTTTGTACTATCTGGAAGTGGACATTTGGAGCGCTTTCAGGTCTACGGTGAAAAAGGAGATATCTTCCAATAAAAACTAGATAGAAGCAATGTCAGAACTTTTTTCATGATGTATCTACTCAGCAAACAGAGTTGAACCTTTCTTTTGAGAGAGCAGTTTTGAAACACTCTTTTTGTGGAATATGCAAGTGGTTATTAGGCCAGCTTGGAGGATTTCGTTGGAAACGGGAATACGTATAAAAAGCAGACAGCAGCATTGTCAGAAACTACTTTGTGATGTTTACATTCAAGTCACAGAACTGAACACTCCCTTTCACAGAGCAGGTTTGAAACACTCTTTTTGTAGTGTCTGTAAGTGAACATTTGGATTGCTTTCAGGCCTAAGGTGAAAAAGGAAATGTCTTCCCATAAAAACTAGACAGAAGCATTCTCAGAAACTTGTTTGTGATGTGTGCCCTCTACTGACAGAGTTGAACCTTTCTTTGCAAAGAGCAGTTTTGAAACACTCTTTTTGTAGAATCTGCAAGAGGATATTTGGATAGCTTTGAGGATTTCTTGGGAAACGGGAATGTCTTCAGATAAACTCTAGACAGAAGCATTCTCAGAAACTTCTTTGGGATGTTTCAATTGAAGTCACAGTGTTGAACATTCCCTTTCACAGAGCAGGTTTGAAACACTCTTTTTGTAGTGTCTATAAGTGAACATTTGGCGTGCTTTCAGGCGTAACGTGAAAAAGGAAATATCTTCCCATAAAAACTAGACAGAAGCATTCTCAGAAACTTGTTCGTGATGTGTGCCCTCTACTGACAGAGTTGAACCTTTCTTTGCAAAGAGCAGCTTTGAAACACTCTTTTTGTAGAATCTGCAAGAGGATATTTGGATAGCTTGGAGGATTTCGTTGGAAACGGGTATGTCTTCAGATAAACTCTAGACAGAAGCATTCTCAGAAACTTCTTTGGGATGTTGCATTCAAGTCACAGAGTAGAACATTCCCATTCATAGAGCAGATTTGAAACACTCTTTTTGTAGTATCTGGAAGTGGACATTTGGAGCGCTTTCAGGCCTATGTTGAAAAAGGAAATATCTTCCCATAAAAACTAGACGGAAGCATTCTCAGAAACTTACGTGTGATGTGTTTGCTCAACTAACAGAATTGAACCATCGTTTTGAAGGAGCAGTTTTGAAACACTGTTTTCGTGGAATCTGCAAGTGGATATTTGGCTAGCTTTGAGGATTTCGTTGGAAACGGGATTACATATAAAAAGGAGTCAGCAGCATTCTCAGCAAACTTCTTTGTGATGTCTGCATTCAAGTCACAGAGTTGAGCATTCCCTTTCATAGAGCAGGTTGGAAACACTCTTTTTGTAGTATCTGGATGAGGACATTTGGAGCGCTTTCAGGCGTATGGTGAAAAAGGAAATATCTTCCCGTAAAAACTAGACAGAAGCATTCTCAGAAATTTATTTGTGATGTGTGCCCTCAACTAACAGAGTTGAACCTTTCTTTTGATAGAGCAGTTTTGAAACACTCTTTTTGTAAAATCTGCAAGAGGATATTTGGATAGCTTTGAGGATTTCGTTGCAAACGGGAATGGCTTCATATAAACTCTAGACAGAAGCATTCTCAGAAACTTCGTTGGGATGTTTCGATTGAAGTCCCAGTGTTGAACATTCCCTTTTATAGAGCAGGTTGGAAACACTCTTTCTGCATTCCCTGGAAGTGGACATTTGGAGCGCTTTCAGGACGACGGTGAAAATGGAAATATCTTCCAAGAAAATCTAGATAGAAGCAACGTCAGAAACTTTTCTGTGATGGATCTACTCAGCTAACAGAGTTGAACCTTTCTTTTGAGAGAGCAGTTTTGCAACACTCTTTTTGTGGAATATGCAAGTGGATATTAGGGCAGCTTTGAGGATTTCGTTGGAAACGGGAATACATGTAAAAAGCAGACAGCAGCATTCTCAGAAACTTCTTTGTGATGTTTGCATTGAAGTCACAGAGTTGAACATTCCCTTTGAGAGAGCAGGTTTGAAACACGCCTTTTGTCATATCTGGAAGTGTCCATTCGGAGCGCATTCAGGCTTGTGTTGAAAAAGGAAATATCCTCCCATAAAAACTAGACAGAAGCATTCTCAGAAACTTATCTGTGATGTATGTACTCAACTAACAGAACTAAACCATCGTTTTGAAGGAGCAGTTTTGAAACACTCTTTTTGCGGAATCTGCAAGTGGATATTTGGCTAGCTGGGAGGATTTCGTTGGAAACGGGATTACATAGAAAAAGCAGACAGCAGCATTCTCAGAAACTTCTTTGTGATGTTTGCATTCAAGTCACAGAGTTGAACATTCCCTTTCATAGAGCAGGTTTGAAACACTCTTTTTGTAGTATCTGGATGTGGACATTTGGATGCTTTCAGGCCTATGGTGAAAAAGGAAATATCTTCCCATGAAAACTAGACAGAAGCATTCTCAGAAACTTATTTGTGATGTGTGCCCTCAACTGACAGTGTTGAACCTTTGTTTTGATAGAGCAGTTCTGAAACACACTTTTTGTAAAATCTGCAAGAGGATATTTGGATAGCTTTGAGGATTTCGTTGGAAACGGGAATGTCTTCATGTAAACTCTAGACAGAAGCATTCTCAGAAACTGCTTTGGGATGTTTCAATTGAAGTCCCAGTGTTGAACATTCCCTTTCATAGAGCAGGTTTGAAACACTCTTTTTGTAGTATCTGGAAGTGGACATTTGGAGCGCTTTCAGGTCTACGGTGAAAAAGGAGATATCTTCCAATAAAAACTAGATAGAAGCAATGTCAGAACTTTTTTCATGATGTATCTACTCAGCAAACAGAGTTGAACCTTTCTTTTGAGAGAGCAGTTTTGAAACACTCTTTTTGTGGAATATGCAAGTGGGTATTAGGCCAGCTTGGAGGATTTCGTTGGAAACGGGAATACGTATAAAAAGCAGACAGCAGCATTGTCAGAAACTACTTTGTGATGTTTGCATTCAAGTCACAGAATTGAACACTCCCTTTCACAGAGCAGGTTTGAAACACTCTTTTTGTAGTGTCTGTAAGTGAACATTTGGATTGCTTTCAGGCCTAAGGTGAAAAAGGAAATATCTTCCCATAAAAACTAGACAGAAGCATTCTCAGAAACTTGTTTGTGATGTGTGCCCTCTACTGACAGAGTTGAACCTTTCTTTGCAAAGAGCAGTTTTGAAACACTCTTTTTGTAGAATCTGCAAGAGGATATTTGGATAGCTTTGAGGATTTCTTGGGAAACGGGAATGTCTTCAGATAAACTCTAGACAGAAGCATTCTCAGAAACTTCTTTGGGATGTTTCAATTGAAGTCACAGTGTTGAACATTCCCTTTCACAGAGCAGGTTTGAAACACTCTTTTTGTAGTGTCTATAAGTGAACATTTGGCGTGCTTTCAGGCCTAACGTGAAAAAGGAAATATCTTCCCATAAAAACTAGACAGAAGCATTCTCAGAAACTTGTTCATGATGTGTGCCCTCTACTGACAGAGTTGAACCTTTCTTTGCAAAGAGCAGCTTTGAAACACTCTTTTTGTAGAATCTGCAAGAGGATATTTGGATAGCTTTGAGGATTTCGTTGGAAACGGGTATGTCTTCAGATAAACTCTAGACAGAAGCATTCTCAGAAACTTCTTTGGGATGTTGCATTCAAGTCACAGAGTAGAACATTCCCATTCATAGAGCAGATTTGAAACACTCTTTTTGTAGTATCTGGAAGTGGACATTTGGAGCGCTTTCAGGCCTATGTTGAAAAAGGAAATATCTTCCCATAAAAAGTAGACGGAAAGCATTCTCAGAAACTTAATTGTGATGTGTTTGCTCAACTAACAGGATTGAACCATCGTTTTGAAGGAGCAGTTTTGAAACACTGTTTTCGTGGAATCTGCAAGTGGATATTTGGCTAGCTTTGAGGATTTCGTTGGAAACGGGATTACATATAAAAAGGAGACAGCAGCATTCTCAGAAACTTCTTTGTGATGTCTGCATTCAATTCACAGAGTTGAGCATTCCCTTTCATAGAGCAGGTTGGAAACACTCTTTTTGTAGTATCTGGATGAGGACATTTGGAGCGCTTTCCGGCGTATGGTGAAAAAGGAAATATCTTCCCGTAAAAACTAGACAGAAGCATTCTCAGAAGTTTATTTGTGATGTGTGCCCTCAACTAACAGAGTTGAACCTTTCTTTTGATAGAGCAGTTTTGAAACACTCTTTTTGTAAAATCTGCAAGAGGATATTTGGATAGCTTTGAGGATTTCGTTGCAAACGGGAATGGCTTCATATAAACTCTAGACAGAAGCATTCTCAGAAACTTCGTTGGGATGTTTCGATTGAAGTCCCAGTGTTGAACATTCCCTTTTATAGAGCAGGTTGGAAACACTCTTTCTGCATTCCCTGGAAGTGGACATTTGGAGCGCTTTCAGGACGACGGTGAAAATGGAAATATCTTCCAAGAAAATCTAGATAGAAGCAATGTCAGAAACTTTTATGTGATGGATCTACTCAGCTAACAGAGTTGAACCTTTCTTTTGAGAGAGCAGTTTTGCAACACTCTTTTTGTGGAATATGCAAGTGGATATTAGGGCAGCTTTGAGGATTTCGTTGGAAACGGGAATACATGTAAAAAGCAGACAGCAGCATTCTCAGAAACTTCTTTGTGATGTTTGCATTGAAGTCACAGAGTTGAACATTCCCTTTGAGAGAGCAGGTTTGAAACACGCCTTTTGTCATATCTGGAAGTGTCCATTCGGAGCGCATTCAGGCTTGTGTTGAAAAAGGAAATATCCTCCCATAAAAACTAGACAGAAGCATTCTCAGAAACTTATCTGTGATGTATGTACTCAACTAACAGAACTAAACCATCGTTTTGAAGGAGCAGTTTTGAAACACTCTTTTTGCGGAATCTGCAAGTGGATATTTGGCTAGCTGGGAGGATTTCGTTGGAAACGGGATTACATACAAAAAGCAGACAGCAGCATTCTCAGAAACTTCTTTGTGATGTTTGCATTCAAGTCACAGAGTTGAACATTCCCTTTCATAGAGCAGGTTTGAAACACTCTTTTTGTAGTATCTGGATGTGGACATTTGGATCGCTTTCAGGCCTATGGTGAAAAAGGAAATATCTTCCCATGAAAACTAGACAGAAGCATTCTCAGAAACTTATTTGTGATGTGTGCCCTCAACTGACAGTGTTGAACCTTTGTTTTGATAGAGCAGTTCTGAAACACACTTTTTGTAAAATCTGCAAGAGGATATTTGGATAGCTTTGAGGATTTCGTTGGAAACGGGAATGTCTTCATGTAAACTCTAGACAGAAGCATTCTCAGAAACTGCTTTGGGATGTTTCAATTGAAGTTCCAGTGTTGAACATTCCCTTTCATAGAGCAGGTTTGAAACACTCTTTTTGTACTATCTGGAAGTGGACATTTGGAGCGCTTTCAGGTCTACGGTGAAAAAGGAGATATCTTCCAATAAAAACTAGATAGAAGCAATGTCAGAACTTTTTTCATGATGTATCTACTCAGCAAACAGAGTTGAACCTTTCTTTTGAGAGAGCAGTTTCGAAACACTCTTTCTGTGGAATATGCAAGTGGGTATTTGGCCAGCTTGGAGGATTTCGTTGGAAACGGGAATACGTATAAAAAGCAGACAGCAGCATTGTCAGAAACTACTTTGTGATGTTTGCATTCAAGTCACAGAATTGAACACTCCCTTTCACAGAGCAGGTTTGAAACACTCTTTTTGTAGTGTCTGTAAGTGAACATTTGGATTGCTTTCAGGCCTAAGGTGAAAAAGGAAATATCTTCCCATAAAAACTAGACAGAAGCATTCTCAGAAACTTGTTTGTGATGTGTGCCCTCTACTGACAGAGTTGAACCTTTCTTTGCAAAGAGCAGTTTTGAAACACTCTTTTTGTAGAATCTGCAAGAGGATATTTGGATAGCTTTGAGGATTTCTTGGGAAACGGGAATGTCTTCAGATAAACTCTAGACAGAAGCATTCTCAGAAACTTCTTTGGGATGTTTCAATTGAAGTCACAGTGTTGAACATTCCCTTTCACAGAGCAGGTTTGAAACACTCTTTTTGTAGTGTCTATAAGTGAACATTTGGCGTGCTTTCAGGCCTAACGTGAAAAAGGAAATATCTTCCCATAAAAACTAGACAGAAGCATTCTCAGAAACTTATTCATGATGTGTGCCCTCTACTGACAGAGTTGAACCTTTCTTTGCAAAGAGCAGCTTTGAAACACTCTTTTTGTAGAATCTGCAAGAGGATATTTGGATAGCTTTGAGGATTTCGTTGGAAACGGGTATGTCTTCAGATAAACTCTAGACAGAAGCATTCTCAGAAACTTCTTTGGGATGTTGCATTCAAGTCACAGAGTAGAACATTCCCATTCATAGAGCAGATTTGAAACACTCTTTTTGTAGTATCTGGAAGTGGACATTTGGAGCGCTTTCAGGCCTATGTTGAAAAAGGAAATATCTTCCCATAAAAACTAGACGGAAGCATTCTCAGAAACTTACTTGTGATGTGTTTGCTCAACTAACAGAATTGAACCATCGTTTTGAAGGAGTAGTTTTGAAACACTGTTTTCGTGGAATCTGCAAGTGGATATTTGGCTAGCTTTGAGGATTTCGTTGGAAACGGGATTACATATAAAAAGGAGACAGCAGCATTCTCAGAAACTTCTTTGTGATGTCTGCATTCAAGTCACAGAGTTGAGCATTCCCTTTCATAGAGAAGGTTGGAAACACTCTTTTTGTAGTATCTGGATGAGGACATTTGGAGCGCTTTCAGGCGTATGGTGAAAAAGGAAATATCTTCCCGTAAAAACTAGACAGAAGCATTCTCAGAAATTTATTTGTGATGTGTGCCCTCAACTAACAGAGTTGAACCTTTCTTTTGATAGAGCAGTTTTGAAACACTCTTTTTGTAAAATCTGCAAGAGGATATTTGGATAGCTTTGAGGATTTCATTGCAAACGGGAATGGCTTCATATAAACTCTAGACAGAAGCATTCTCAGAAACTTCGTTGGGATGTTTCGATTGAAGTCCCAGTGTTGAACATTCCCTTTTATAGAGCAGGTTGGAAACACTCTTTCTGCATTCCCTGGAAGTGGACATTTGGAGCGCTTTCAGGACGACGGTGAAAATGGAAATATCTTCCAAGAAAATCTAGATAGAAGCAACGTCAGAAACTTTTATGTGATGGATCTACTCAGCTAACAGAGTTGAACCTTTCTTTTGAGAGAGCAGTTTTGCAACACACTTTTTGTGGAATATGCAAGTGGATATTAGGGCAGCTTTGAGGATTTCGTTGGAAACGGGAATACATGTAAAAAGCAGACAGCAGCATTCTCAGAAACTTCTTTGTGATGTTTGCATTGAAGTCACAGAGTTGAACATTCCCTTTGAGAGAGCAGGTTTGAAACACGCCTTTTGTCATATCTGGAAGTGTCCATTCGGAGCGCATTCAGGCTTGTGTTGAAAAAGGAAATATCCTCCCATAAAAACTAGACAGAAGCATTCTCAGAAACTTATCTGTGATGTATGTACTCAACTAACAGAACTAAACCATCGTTTTGAAGGAGCAGTTTTGAAACACTCTTTTTGCGGAATCTGCAAGTGGATATTTGGCTAGCTGGGAGGATTTCGTTGGAAACGGGATTACATACAAAAAGCAGACAGCAGCATTCTCAGAAACTTCTTTGTGATGTTTGCATTCAAGTCACAGAGTTGAACATTCCCTTTCATAGAGCAGGTTTGAAACACTCTTTTTGTAGTATCTGGATGTGGACATTTGGATCGCTTTCAGGCCTATGGTGAAAAAGGAAATATCTTCCCATGAAAACTAGACAGAAGCATTCTCAGAAACTTATTTGTGATGTGTGCCCTCAACTGACAGTGTTGAACCTTTGTTTTGATAGAGCAGTTCTGAAACACACTTTTTGTAAAATCTGCAAGAGGATATTTGGATAGCTTTGAGGATTTCGTTGGAAACGGGAATGTCTTCATGTAAACTCTAGACAGAAGCATTCTCAGAAACTGCTTTGGGATGTTTCAATTGAAGTCCCAGTGTTGAACATTCCCATTCATAGAGCAGGTTTGAAACACTCTTTTTGTACTATCTGGAAGTGGACATTTGGAGCGCTTTCAGGTCTACGGTGAAAAAGGAGATATCTTCCAATAAAAACTAGATAGAAGCAATGTCAGAACTTTTTACATGATGTATCTACTCAGCAAACAGAGTTGAACCTTTCTTTTGAGAGAGCAGTTTTGAAACACTCTTTTTGTGGAATATGCAAGTGGGTATTAGGCCAGCTAGGAGGATTTCGTTGGAAACGGGAATACGTATAAAAAGCAGACAGCAGCATTGTCAGAAACTACTTTGTGATGTTTGCATTCAAGTCACAGAATTGAACACTCCCTTTCACAGAGCAGGTTTGAAACACTCTTTTTGTAGTGTCTGTAAGTGAACATATGGATTGCTTTCAGGCCTAAGGTGAAAAAGGAAATATCTTCCCATAAAAACTAGACAGAAGCATTCTCAGAAACTTGTTTGTGATGTGTGCCCTCTACTGACAGAGTTGAACCTTTCTTTGCAAAGAGCAGTTTTGAAACACTCTTTTTGTAGAATCTGCAAGAGGATATTTGGATAGCTTTGAGGATTTCTTGGGAAACGGGAATGTCTTCAGATAAACTCTAGACAGAAGCATTCTCAGAAACTTCTTTGGGATGTTTCAATTGAAGTCACAGTGTTGAACATTCCCTTTCACAGAGCAGGTTTGAAACACTCTTTTTGTAGTGTCTATAAGTGAACATTTGGCGTGCTTTCAGGCCTAACGTGAAAAAGGAAATATCTTCCCATAAAAACTAGACAGAAGCATTCTCAGAAACTTGTTCGTGATGTGTGCCCTCTACTGACAGAGTTGAACCTTTCTTTGCAAAGAGCAGCTTTGAAACACTCTTTTTGTAGAATCTGCAAGAGGATATTTGGATAGCTTGGAGGATTTCGTTGGAAACGGGTATGTCTTCAGATAAACTATAGACAGAAGCATTCTCAGAAACTTCTTTGGGATGTTGCATTCAAGTCACAGAGTAGAACATTCCCATTCATAGAGCAGATTTGAAACACTCTTTTTGTAGTATCTGGAAGTGGACATTTGGAGCGCTTTCAGGCCTATGTTGAAAAAGGAAATATCTTCCCATAAAAACTAGACGGAAGCATTCTCAGAAACTTATTTGTGATGTGCTTGCTCAACTAACAGGATTGAACCATCGTTTTGAAGGAGCAGTTTTGAAACACTGTTTTCATGGAATCTGCAAGTGGATATTTGGCTAGCTTTGAGGATTTCGTTGGAAACGGGATTACATATAAAAAGGAGACAGCAGCATTCTCAGAAACTTCTTTGTGATGTCTGCATTCAATTATCAGAGTTGAGCATTCCCTTTCATAGAGCAGGTTGGAAACACTCTTTTTGTAGTATCTGGATGAGGACATTTGGAGCGCTTTCAGGCCTATGGTGAAAAAGGAAATATCTTCCCGTAAAAACTAGACAGAAGCATTCTCAGAAGTTTATTTGTGATGTGTGCCCTCAAATAACAGAGTTGAACCTTTCTTTTGATAGAGCAGTTTTGAAACACTCTTTTTGTAAAATCTGCAAGAGGATATTTGGATAGCTTTGAGGATTTCGTTGCAAACGGGAATGGCTTCATATAAACTCTAGACAGAAGCATTCTCAGTAAACTGCTTTGGGATGTTTCAATTGAAGTCCCAGTGTTGAACATTCCCTTTCATAGAGCAGGTTTGAAACACTCTTTTTGTACTATCTGGAAGTGGACATTTGGAGCGCTTTCAGGTCTACGGTGAAAAAAGGAGATATCTTCCAATAAAAACTAGATAGAAGCAATGTCAGAACTTTTTTCATGATGTATCTACTCAGCAAACAGAGTTGAACCTTTCTTTTGAGAGAGCAGTTTTGAAACACTCTTTTTGTGGAATATGCAAGTGGGTATTAGGCCAGCTTGGAGGATTTCGTTGGAAACGGGAATACGTATAAAAAGCAGACAGCAGCATTGTCAGAAACTACTTTGTGATGTTTGCATTCAAGTCACAGAATTGAACACTCCCTTTCACAGAGCAGGTTTGAAACACTCTTTTTGTAGTGTCTGTAAGTGAACATTTGGATTGCTTTCAGGCCTAAGGTGAAAAAGGAAATATCTTCCCATAAAAACTAGACAGAAGCATTCTCAGAATCTTGTTTGTGATGTGTGCCCTCTACTGACAGAGTTGAACCTTTCTTTGCAAAGACCAGTTTTGAAACACTCTTTTTGTAGAATCTGCAAGAGGATATTTGGATAGCTTTGAGGATTTCTTGGGAAACGGGAATGTCTTCAGATAAACTCTAGACAGAAGCATTCTCAGAAACTTCTTTGGGATGTTTCAATTGAAGTCACAGTGTTGAACATTCCCTTTCACAGAGCAGGTTTGCAACACTCTTTTTGTAGTGTCTATAAGTGAACATTTGGCGTGCTTTCAGGCCTAACGTGAAAAAGGAAATATGTTCCCATAAAAACTAGACAGAAGCATTCTCAGAAACTTGTTCGTGATGTGTGCCCCTCTACTGACAGAGTTGAACCTTTCTTTGCAAAGAGCAGCTTTGAAACACACTTTTTGTAGAATCAGCAAGAGGATATTTGGATAGCTTTGAGGATTTCGTTGGAAACGGGTATGTCTTCAGATAAACTCTAGACAGAAGCATTCTCAGAAACTTCTTTGGGATGTTGCATTCAAGTCACAGAGTACAACATTCCCATTCATAGAGCAGATTTGAAACACTCTTTTTGTAGTATCTGGAAGTGGACATTTGGAGCGCTTTCAGGCCTATGTTGAAAAAGGAAATATCTTCCCATAAAAACTAGACGGAAGCATTCTCAGAAACTTATTTGTGATGTGTTTGCTCAACTAACAGGATTGAACCATCGTTTTGAAGGAGCAGTTTTGAAACACTGTTTTCGTGGAATCTGCAAGTGGATATTTGGCTAGCTTTGAGGATTTCGTTGGAAACGGGATTACATATACAAAGGAGACAGCAGCATTCTCAGAAACTTCTTTGTGATGTCTGCATTCAATTCACAGAGTTGAGCATTCCCTTTCATAGAGCAGGTTGGAAACACTCTTTTTGTAGTATCTGGATGAGGACATTTGGAGCGCTTTCAGGCGTATGGTGAAAAAGGAAATATCTTCCCGTAAAAACTAGACAGAAGCATTCTCAGAAGTTTATTTGTGATGTGTGCCCTCAACTAACAGAGTTGAACCTTTCTTTTGATAGAGCAGTTTTGAAACACTCTTTTTGTAAAATCTGCAAGAGGATATTTGGATAGCTTTGAGGATTTCGTTGCAAACGGGAATGGCTTCATATAAACTCTAGACAGAAGCATTCTCAGAAACTTCGTTGGGATGTTTCGATTGAAGTCCCAGTGTTGAACATTCCCTTTTATAGAGCAGGTTGGAAACACTCTTTCTGCATTCCCTGGAAGTGGACATTTGGAGCGCTTTCAGGACGACGGTGAAAATGGAAATATCTTCCAAGAAAATCTAGATAGAAGCAATGTCAGAAACTTTTATGTGATGGATCTACTCAGCTAACAGAGTTGAACCTTTCTTTTGAGAGAGCAGTTTTGCAACACTCTTTTTGTGGAATATGCAAGTGGATATTAGGGCAGCTTTGAGGATTTCGTTGGAAACGGGAATACATGTAAAAAGCAGACAGCAGCATTCTCAGAAACTTCTTTGTGATGTTTGCATTGAAGTCACAGAGTTGAACATTCCCTTTGAGAGAGCAGGTTTGAAACACGCCTTTTGTCATATCTGGAAGTGTCCATTCGGAGCGCATTCAGGCTTGTGTTGAAAAAGGAAATATCCTCCCATAAAAACTAGACAGAAGCATTCTCAGAAACTTATCTCTGATGTATGTACTCAACTAACAGAACTAAACCATCGTTTTGAAGGAGCAGTTTTGAAACACTCTTTTTGCGGAATCTGCAAGTGGATATTTGGCTAGCTGGGAGGATTTCGTTGGAAACGGGATTACATACAAAAAGCAGACAGCAGCATTCTCAGAAACTTATTTGTGATGTGTGCCCTCAACTGACAGTGTTGAACCTTTGTTTTGATAGAGCAGTTCTGAAACACACTTTTTGTAAAATCTGCAAGAGGATATTTGGATAGCTTTGAGGATTTCGTTGGAAACGGGAATGTCTTCATGTAAACTCTACACAGAAGCATTCTCAGAAACTGCTTTGGGATGTTTCAATTGAAGTCCCAGTGTTGAACATTCCCATTCATAGAGCAGGTTTGAAACACTCTTTTTGTACTATCTGGAAGTGGACATTTGGAGCGCTTTCAGGTCTACGGTGAAAAAGGAGATATCTTCCAATAAAAACTAGATAGAAGCAATGTCAGAACTTTTTTCATGATGTATCTACTCAGCAAACAGAGTTGAACCTTTCTTTTGAGAGAGCAGTTTTGAAACACTCTTTTTGTGGAATATGCAAGTGGGTATTAGGCCAGCTTGGAGGATTTCGTTGGAAACGGGAATACGTATAAAAAGCAGACAGCAGCATTGTCAGAAACTACTTTGTGATGTTTGCATTCAAGTCACAGAATTGAACACTCCCTTTCACAGAGCAGGTTTGAAACACTCTTTTTGTAGTGTCTGTAAGTGAACATTTGGATTGCTTTCAGGCCTAAGGTGAAAAAGGAAATATCTTCCCATAAAAACTAGACAGAAGCATTCTCAGAAACTTGTTTGTGATGTGTGCCCTCTACTGACAGAGTTGAACCTTTCTTTGCAAAGAGCAGTTTTGAAACACTCTTTTTGTAGAATCTGCAAGAGGATATTTGGATAGCTTTGAGGATTTCTTGGGAAACGGGAATGTCTTCAGATAAACTCTAGACAGAAGCATTCTCAGAAACTTCTTTGGGATGTTTCAATTGAAGTCACAGTGTTGAACATTCCCTTTCACAGAGCAGGTTTGAAACACTCTTTTTGTAGTGTCTATAAGTGAACATTTGGCGTGCTTTCAGGCCTAACGTGAAAAAGGAAATATCTTCCCATAAAAACTAGACGGAAGCATTCTCAGAAACTTGTTCGTGATGTGTGCCCTCTACTGACAGAGTTGAACCTTTCTTTGCAAAGAGCAGCTTTGAAACACACTTTTTGTAGAATCTGCAAGAGGATATTTGGATAGCTTTGAGGATTTCGTTGGAAACGGTTATGTCTTCAGATAAACTCTAGACAGAAGCATTCTCAGAAACTTCTTTGGGATGTTGCATGCAAGTCACAGAGTAGAACATTCCCATTCATAGAGCAGATTTGAAACACTCTTTTTGTAGTATCTGGAAGTGGACATTTGGAGCGCTTTCAGGCCTATGTTGAAAAAGGAAATATCTTCCCATAAAAACTAGACGGAAGCATTCTCAGAAACTTATTTGTGATGTGTTTGCTCAACTAACAGGATTGAACCATCGTTTTGAAGGAGCAGTTTTGAAACACTGTTTTCGTGGAATCTGCAAGTGGATATTTGGCTAGCTTTGAGGATTTCGTTGGAAACGGGATTACATATAAAAAGGAGACAGCAGCATTCTGAGAAACTTCTTTGTGATGTCTGCATTCAATTCACAGAGTTGAGCATTCCCTTTCATAGAGCAGGTTGGAAACACTCTTTTTGTAGTATCTGGATGTGGACATTTGGATCGCTTTCAGGCCTATGGTGAAAAAGGAAATATCTTCCCATGAAAACTAGACAGAAGCATTCTTAGAAACTTATGTGTGATGTGTGCCCTCAACTGACAGTGTTGAACCTTTGTTTTGATAGAGCAGTTCTGAAACACACTTTTGGTAAAATCTGCATGAGGAAATTTGGATAGCTTTGAGCATTTCGTTGGAAACGGGAATGTCTTCATATAAACTCTAGACAGAAGCATTCTCAGAAACTGCTTTGGGATGTTTCAATTGAAGTCCCAGTGTTGAACATTCCCTTTCATAGAGCAGGTTTGAAACACTCTTTTTGTAGTATCTGGAAGTGGACATTTGGAGCGCTTTCAGGTCTACGGTGAAAAAGGAGATATCTTCCAATAAAAACTAGATAGAAGCAATGTCAGAACTTTTTTCATGATGTATCTACTCAGCAAACAGAGTTGAACCTTTCTTTTGAGAGAGCAGTTTTGAAACACTCTTTTTGTGTAATATGCAAGTGGGTATTAGGCCAGCTTGGAGGATTTCGTTGGAAACGGGAATACGTATAAAAAGCAGACAGCCATTGTCAGAAACTACTTTGTGATGTTTGCATTCAAGTCACAGAATTGAACACTCCCTTTCACAGAGCAGGTTTGAAACACTCTTTTTGTAGTGTCTGTAAGTGAACATTTGGATTGCTTTCAGGCCTAAGGTGAAAAAGGAAATATCTTCCCATAAAAACTAGACAGAAGCATTCTCAGAAACTTGTTTGTGATGTGTGCCCTCTACTGACAGAGTTGAACCTTTCTTTGCAAAGAGCAGTTTTGAAACACTCTTTTTGTAGAATCTGCAAGAGGATATTTGGATAGCTTTGAGGATTTCTTGGGAAACGGGAATGTCTTCAGATAAACTCTAGACAGAAGCATTCTCAGAAACTTCTTTGGGATGTTTCAATTGAAGTCACAGTGTTGAACATTCCCTTTCACAGAGCAGGTTTGAAACACTCTTTTTGTAGTGTCTATAAGTGAACATTTGGCGTGCTTTCAGGCCTAACGTGAAAAAGGAAATATCTTCCCATAAAAACTAGACAGAAGCATTCTCAGAAACTTGTTCGTGATGTGTGCCCTCTACTGACAGAGTTGAACCTTTCTTTGCAAAGAGCAGCTTTGAAACACACTTTTTGTAGAATCTGCAAGAGGATATTTGGATAGCTTTGAGGATTTCGTTGGAAACGGGTATGTCTTCAGATAAACTCTAGACAGAAGCATTCTCAGAAACTTCTTTGGGATGTTGCATTCAAGTCACAGAGTAGAACATTCCCATTCATAGAGCAGATTTGAAACACTCTTTTTGTAGTATCTGGAAGTGGACATTTGGAGCGCTTTCAGGCCTATGTTGAAAAAGGAAATATCTTCCCATAAAAACTAGACGGAAGCATTCTCAGAAACTTATTTGTGATGTGTTTGCTCAACTAACAGGATTGAACCATCGTTTTGAAGGAGCAGTTTTGAAACACTGTTTTCGTGGAATCTGTAAGTGGATATTTGGCTAGCTTTGAGGATTTCGTTGGAAACGGGATTACATATAAAAAGGAGACAGCAGCATTCTCAGAAACTTCTTTGTGATGTCTGCATTCATTTCACAGAGTTGAGCATTCCCTTTCATAGAGCAGGTTGGAAACACTCTTTTTGTAGTATCTGGATGAGGACATTTGGAGCGCTTTCAGGCGTATGGTGAAAAAGGAAATATCTTCCCGTAAAAACTAGACAGAAGCATTCTCAGAAGTTTATTTGTGATGTGTGCCCTCAACTAACAGAGTTGAACCTTTCTTTTGATAGAGCAGTTTTGAAACACTCTTTTTGTAAAATCTGCAAGAGGATATTTGGATAGCTTTGAGGATTTCGTTGCAAACGGGAATGGCTTCATATAAACTCTAGACAGAAGCATTCTCAGAAACTTCGTTGGGATGTTTCGATTGAAGTCCCAGTGTTGAACATTCCCTTTTATAGAGCAGGTTGGAAACACTCTTTCTGCATTCCCTGGAAGTGGACATTTGGAGCGCTTTCAGGACGACGGTGAAAATGGAAATATCTTCCAAGAAAATCTAGATAGAAGCAATGTCAGAAACTTTTATGTGATGGATCTACTCAGCTAACAGAGTTGAACCTTTCTTTTGAGAGAGCAGTTTTGCAACACTCTTTTTGTGGAATATGCAAGTGGATATTAGGGCAGCTTTGAGGATTTCGTTGGAAACGGGAATACATGTAAAAAGCAGACAGCAGCATTCTCAGAAACTTCTTTGTGATGTTTGCATTGAAGTCACAGCAGTTGAACATTCCCTTTGAGAGAGCAGGTTTGAAACACGCCTTTTGTCATATCTGGAAGTGTCCATTCGGAGCGCATTCAGGCTTGTGTTGAAAAAGGAAATATCCTCCCATAAAAACTAGACAGAAGCATTCTCAGAAACTTATCTGTGATGTATGTACTCAACTAACAGAACTAAACCATCGTTTTGAAGGAGCAGTTTTGAAACACTCTTTTTGCGGAATCTGCAAGTGGATATTTGGCTAGCTGGGAGGATTTCGTTGGAAACGGGATTACATACAAAAAGCAGACAGCAGCATTCTCAGAAACTTCTTTGTGATGTTTGCATTCAAGTCACAGAGTTGAACATTCCCTTTCATAGAGCAGGTTGGAAACACTCTTTTTGTAGTATCTGGATGTGGACATTTGGATCGCTTTCAGGCCTATGGTGAAAAAGGAAATATCTTCCCATGAAAACTAGACAGAAGCATTCTCAGAAACTTATTTGCGATGTGTGCCCTCAACTGACAGTGTTGAACCTTTGTTTTGATAGAGCAGTTCTGAAACACACTTTTTGTAAAATCTGCAAGAGGATATTTGGATAGCTTTGAGGATTTCGTTGGAAACGGGAATGTCTTCATGTAAACTCTGGACAGAAGCATTCTCAGAAACTGCTTTGGGATGTTTCAATTGAAGTCCCAGTGTTGAACATTCCCTTTCATAGAGCAGGTTTGAAACACTCTTTTTGTACTATCTGGAAGTGGACATTTGGAGCGCTTTCAGGTCTACGGTGAAAAAGGAGATATCTTCCAATAAAAACTAGATAGAAGCAATGTCAGAACTTTTTTCATGATGTATCTACTCAGCAAACAGAGTTGAACCTTTCTTTTGAGAGAGCAGTTTTGAAACACTCTTTTTGTGGAATATGCAAGTGGGTATTAGGCCAGCTTGGAGGATTTCGTTGGAAACGGGAATACGTATAAAAAGCAGACAGCAGCATTGTCAGAAACTACTTTGTGATGTTTGCATTCAAGTCACAGAATTGAACACTCCCTTTCACAGAGCAGGTTTGAAACACTCTTTTTGTAGTGTCTGTAAGTGAACATTTGGATTGCTTTCAGGCCTAAGGTGAAAAAGGGAAATATCTTCCCATAAAAACTAGACAGAAGCATTCTCAGAAACTTGTTTGTGATGTGTGCCCTCTACTGACAGAGTTGAACCTTTCATTGCAAAGACCAGTTTTGAAACACTCTTTTTGTAGAATCTGCAAGAGGATATTTGGATAGCTTTGAGGATTTCTTGGGAAACGGGAATGTCTTCAGATAAACTCTAGACAGAAGCATTCTCAGAAACTTCTTTGGGATGTTTCAATTGAAGTCACAGTGTTGAACATTCCCTTTCACAGAGCAGGTTTGAAACACTCTTTTTGTAGTGTCTATAATTGAACATTTGGCGTGCTTTCAGGCCTAACGTGAAAAAGGAAATATCTTCCCATAAAAACTAGACAGAAGCATTCTCAGAAACTTGTTCGTGATGTGTGCCCTCTACTGACAGAGTTGAACCTTTCTTTGCAAAGAGCAGCTTTGAAACACTCTTTTTGTAGAATCTGCAAGAGGATATGTGGATAGCTTTGAGGATTTCGTTGGAAACGGGTATGTCTTCAGATAAACTCTAGACAGAAGCATTCTCAGAAACTTCTTTGGGATGTTTCAATTGAAGTCACAGTGTTGAACATTCCCTTTCACAGAGCAGGTTTGAAACACTCTTTTTGTAGTGTCTATAAGTGAACATTTGGCGTGCTTTCAGGCCTAACGTGAAAAAGGAAATATCTTCCCATAAAAACTAGACAGAAGCATTCTCAGAAACTTGTTCATGATGTGTGCCCTCTACTGACAGAGTTGAACCTTTCTTTGCAAAGAGCAGCTTTGAAACACTCTTTTTGTAGAATCTGCAAGAGGATATTTGGATAGCTTTGAGGATTTCGTTGGAAACGGGTATGTCTTCAGATAAACTCTAGACAGAAGCATTCTCAGAAACTTCTTTGGGATGTTGCATTCAAGTCACAGAGTAGAACATTCCCATTCATAGAGCAGATTTGAAACACTCTTTTTGTAGTATCTGGAAGTGGACATTTGGAGCGCTTTCAGGCCTATGTTGAAAAAGGAAATATCTTCCCATAAAAACTAGACGGAAGCATTCTCAGAAACTTACTTGTGATGTGTTTGCTCAACTAACAGAATTGAACCATCGTTTTGAAGGAGCAGTTTTGAAACACTGTTTTCGTGGAATCTGCAAGTGGATATTTGGCTAGCTTTGAGGATTTCGTTGGAAACGGGATTACATATAAAAAGGAGACAGCAGCATTCTCAGAAACTTCTTTGTGATGTCTGCATTCAAGTCACAGAGTTGAGCATTCCCTTTCATAGAGCAGGTTGGAAACACTCTTTTTGTAGTATCTGGATGAGGACATTTGGAGCGCTTTCTGGCCTATGGTGAAAAAGGAAATATCTTCCTGTAAAAACTAGACAGAAGCATTCTCAGAAGTTTATTTGTGATGTGTGCCCTCAAATAACAGAGTTGAACCTTTCTTTTGATAGAGCAGTTTTGAAACACTCTTTTTGTAAAATCTGCAAGAGGATATTTGGATAGCTTTGAGGATTTCGTTGCAAACGGGAATGGCTTCATATAAACTCTAGACAGAAGCATTCTCAGAAACTTCGTTGGGATGTTTCGATGGAAGTCCCAGTGTTGAACATTCCCTTTTATAGAGCAGGTTGGAAACACTCTTTCTGCATTCCCTGGAAGTGGACATTTGGAGCGCTTTCAGGACGACGGTGAAAATGGAAATATCTTCCAATAAAATCTAGATAGAAGCAACGTCAGAAACTTTTATGTGATGGATCTACTCAGCTAACAGAGTTGAACCTTTCTTTTGAGAGAGCAGTTTTGCAACACTCTTTTTGTGGAATATGCAAGTGGATATTAGGGCAGCTTTGAGGATTTCGTTGGAAACGGGAATACATGTAAAAAGCAGACAGCAGCATTCTCAGAAACTTCTTTGTGATGTTTGCATTGAAGTCACAGAGTTGAACATTCCCTTTGAGAGAGCAGGTTTGAAACACGCCTTTTGTCATATCTGGAAGTGTCCATTCGGAGCGCATTCAGGCTTGTGTTGAAAAAGGAAATATCCTCCCATAAAAACTAGACAGAAGCATTCTCAGAAACTTATCTGTGATGTATGTACTCAACTAACAGAACTAAACCATCGTTTTGAAGGAGCAGTTTTGAAACACTCTTTTTGCGGAATCTGCAAGTGGATATTTGGCTAGCTGGGAGGATTTCGTTGGAAATGGGATTACATACAAAAAGCAGACAGCAGCATTCTCAGAAACTTCTTTGTGATGTTTGCATTCAAGTCACAGAGTTGAACATTCCCTTTCATAGAGCAGGTTTGAAACACTCTTTTTGTAGTATCTGGATGTGGACATTTGGATCGCTTTCAGGCCTATGGTGAAAAAGGAAATATCTTCCCATGAAAACTAGACAGAAGCATTCTCAGAAACTTATTTGTGATGTGTGCCCTCAACTGACAGTGTTGAACCTTTGTTTTGATAGAGCAGTTCTGAAACACACTTTTTGTAAAATCTGCAAGAGGATATTTGGATAGCTTTGAGGATTTCGTTGGAAACGGGAATGTCTTCATGTAAACTCTGGACAGAAGCATTCTCAGAAACTGCTTTGGGATGTTTCAATTGAAGTCCCAGTGTTGAACATTCCCTTTCATAGAGCAGGTTTGAAACACTCTTTTTGTACTATCTGGAAGTGGACATTTGGAGCGCTTTCAGGTCTACGGTGAAAAAGGAGATATCTTCCAATAAAAACTAGATAGAAGCAATGTCAGAACTTTTTTCATGATGTATCTACTCAGCAAACAGAGTTGAACCTTTCTTTTGAGAGAGCAGTTTTGAAACACTCTTTTTGTGGAATATGCAAGTGGGTATTAGGCCAGCTTGGAGGATTTCGTTGGAAACGGGAATACGTATAAAAAGCAGACAGCAGCATTGTCAGAAACTACTTTGTGATGTTTGCATTCAAGTCACAGAATTGAACACTCCCTTTCACAGAGCAGGTTTGAAACACTCTTTTTGTAGTGTCTGTAAGTGAACATTTGGATTGCTTTCAGGCCTAAGGTGAAAAAGGAAATATCTTCCCATAAAAACTAGACAGAAGCATTCTCAGAAACTTGTTTGTGATGTGTGCCCTCTACTGACAGAGTTGAACCTTTCTTTGCAAAGAGCAGTTTTGAAACACTCTTTTTGTAGAATCTGCAAGAGGATATTTGGATAGCTTTGAGGATTTCTTGGGAAACGGGAATGTCTTCAGATAAACTCTAGACAGAAGCATTCTCAGAAACTTCTTTGGGATGTTTCAATTGAAGTCACAGTGTTGAACATTCCCTTTCACAGAGCAGGTTTGAAACACTCTTTTTGTAGTGTCTATAAGTGAACATTTGGCGTGCTTTCAGGCCTAACGTGAAAAAGGAAATATCTTCCCATAAAAACTAGACAGAAGCATTCTCAGAAACTTGTTCTTGATGTGTCCCCTCTACTGACAGAGTTGAACCTTTCTTTGCAAAGAGCAGCTTTGAAACACTCTTTTTGTAGAATCTGCAAGAGGATATTTGGATAGCTTGGAGGATTTCGTTGGAAACGGGTATGTCTTCAGATAAACTCTAGACAGAAGCATTCTCAGAAACTTCTTTGGGATGTTGCATTCAAGTCACAGAGTAGAACATTCCCATTCATAGAGCAGATTTGAAACACTCTTTTTGTAGTATCTGGAAGTGGACATTTGGAGCGCTTTCAGGCCTATGTTGAAAAAGGAAATATCTTCCCATAAAAACTAGACGGAAGCATTCTCAGAAACTTATTTGTGATGTGTTTGCTCAACTAACAGGATTGAACCATCGTTTTGAAGGAGCAGTTTTGAAACACTGTTTTCGTGGAATCTGCAAGTGGATATTTGGCTAGCTTTGAGGATTTCGTTGGAAACGGGATTACATATAAAAAGGAGACAGCAGCATTCTCAGAAACTTCTTTGTGATGTTTGCATTCAAGTCACAGAGTTGAACATTCCCTTTCATAGAGCAGGTTGGAAACACTCTTTTTGTAGTATCTGGATGTGGACATTTGGATCGCTTTCAGGCCTATGGTGAAAAAGGAAATATCTTCCCATGAAAACTAGACAGAAGCATTCTCAGAAACTTATTTGTGATGTGTGCCCTCAACTGACAGTGTTGAACCTTTGTTTTGATAGAGCAGTTCTGAAACACACTTTTTGTAAAATCTGCAAGAGGATATTTGGATAGCTTTGAGGATTTCGTTGGAAACGGGAATGTCTTCATGTAAACTCTAGACAGAAGCATTCTCAGAAACTGCTTTGGGATGTTTCAATTGAAGTCCCAGTGCTGAACATTCCCTTTCATAGAGCAGGTTTGAAACACTCTTTTTGTACTATCTCGAAGTGGACATTTGGAGCGCTTTCAGGTCTACGGTGAAAAAGGAGATATCTTCCAATAAAAACTAGATAGAAGCAATGTCAGAACTTTTTTCATGATGTATCTACTCAGCAAACAGAGTTGAACCTTTCTTTTGAGAGAGCAGTTTCGAAACACTCTTTCTGTGGAATATGCAAGTGGGTATTAGGCCAGCTTGGAGGATTTCGTTGGAAACGGGAATACGTATAAAAAGCAGACAGCCAGCATTGTCAGAAACTACTTTGTGATGTTTGCATTCAAGTCACAGAATTGAACACTCCCTTTCACAGAGCAGGTTTGAAACACTCTTTTTGTAGTGTCTGTAAGTGAACATTTGGATTGCTTTCAGGCCTAAGGTGAAAAAGGAAATATCTTCCCATAAAAACTAGACAGAGCATTCTCAGAAACTTGTTTGTGATGTGTGCCCTCTACTGACAGATTTGAACCTTTCTTTGCAAAGAGCAGTTTTGAAACACTCTTTTTGTAGAATCTGCAAGAGGATATTTGGATAGCTTTGAAGATTTCTTGGGAAACGGGAATGTCTTCAGATAAACTCTAGACAGAAGCATTCTCAGAAACTTCTTTGGGATGTTTCAATTGAAGTCACAGTGTTGAACATTCCCTTTCACAGAGCAGGTTTGAAACACTCTTTTTGTAGTGTGTATAAGTGAATATTTCGCGTGCTTTCAGGCCTAACGTGAAAAAGGAAATATCTTCCCATAAAAACTAGACAGAAGCATTCTCAGAAACTTGTTCATGATGTGTGCCCTCTACTGACAGAGTTGAACCTTTCTTTGCAAAGAGCAGCTTTGAAACACTCTTTTTGTAGAATCTGCAAGAGGATATTTGGATAGCTTTGAGGATTTCGTTGGAAACGGGTATGTCTTCAGATAAACTCTAGACAGAAGCATTCTCAGAAACTTCTTTGGGATGTTGCATTCAAGTCACAGAGTAGAACATTCCCATTCATAGAGCAGATTTGAAACACTCTTTTTGTAGTATCTGGAAGTGGACATTTGGAGCGCTTTCAGGCCTATGTTGAAAAAGGAAATATCTTCCCATAAAAACTAGACGGAAGCATTCTCAGAAACTTACTTGTGATGTGTTTGCTCAACTAACAGAATTGAACCATCGTTTTGAAGGAGCAGTTTTGAAACACTGTTTTCGTGGAATCTGCAAGTGGATATTTGGCTAGCTTTGAGGATTTCGTTGGAAACGGGATTACATATAAAAAGGAGACAGCAGCATTCTCAGAAACTTCTTTGTGATGTCTGCATTCAAGTCACAGAGTTGAGCATTCCCTTTCATAGAGCAGGTTGGAAACACTCTTTTTGTAGTATCTGGATGAGGACATTTGGAGCGCTTTCAGGCGTATGGTGAAAAAGGAAATATCTTCCCGTAAAAACTAGACAGAAGCATTCTCAGAAATTTATTTGTGATGTGTGCCCTCAACTAACAGAGTTGAACCTTTCTTTTGATAGAGCAGTTTTGAAACACTCTTTTTGTAAAATCTGCAAGAGGATATTTGGATAGCTTGAGGATTTCGTTGCAAACGGGAATGGCTTCATATAAACTCTAGACAGAAGCATTCTCAGAAACTTCGTTGGGATGTTTCGATTGAAGTCCCAGTGTTGAACATTCCCTTTTATAGAGCAGGTTGGAAACACTCTTTCTGCATTCCCTGGAAGTGGACATTTGGAGGGCTTTCAGGACGACGGTGAAAATGGAAATATCTTCCAAGAAAATCTAGATAGAAGCAATGTCAGAAACTTTTATGTGATGGATCTACTCAGCTAACAGAGTTGAACCTTTCTTTTGAGAGAGCAGTTTTGCAACACTCTTTTTGTGGAATATGCAAGTGGATATTAGGGCAGCTTTGAGGATTTCGTTGGAAACGGGAATACATGTAAAAAGCAGACAGCAGCATTCTCAGAAACTTCTTTGTGATGTTTGCATTGAAGTCACAGAGTTGAACATTCCCTTTGAGAGAGCAGGTTTGAAACACACCTTTTGTCATATCTGGAAGTGTCCATTCGGAGCGCATTCAGGCTTGTGTTGAAAAAGGAAATATCCTCCCATAAAAACTAGACAGAAGCATTCTCAGAAACTTATCTGTGATGTATGTACTCAACTAACAGAACTAAACCATCGTTTTGAAGGAGCAGTTTTGAAACACTCTTTTTGCGGAATCTGCAAGTGGATATTTGGCTAGCTGGGAGGATTTCGTTGGAAACGGGATTACATACAAAAAGCAGACAGCAGCATTCTCAGAAACTTCTTTGTGATGTTTGCATTCAAGTCACAGAGTTGAACATTCCCTTTCATAGAGCAGGTTTGAAACACTCTTTTTGTAGTATCTGGATGTGGACATTTGGATCGCTTTCAGGCCTATGGTGAAAAAGGAAATATCTTCCCATGAAAACTAGACAGAAGCATTCTCAGAAACTTATTTGTGATGTGTGCCCTCAACTGACAGTGTTGAACCTTTGTTTTGATAGAGCAGTTCTGAAACACACTTTTTGTAAAATCTGCAAGAGGATATTTGGATAGCTTTGAGGATTTCGTTGGAAACGGGAATGTCTTCATGTAAACTCTACACAGAAGCATTCTCAGAAACTGCTTTGGGATGTTTCAATTGAAGTCCCAGTGTTGAACATTCCCTTTCATAGAGCAGGTTTGAAACACTCTTTTTGTACTATCTGGAAGTGGACATTTGGAGCGCTTTCAGGTCTACGGTGAAAAAGGAGATATCTTCCAATAAAAACTAGATAGAAGCAATGTCAGAACCTTTTTCATGATGTATCTACTCAGCAAACAGAGTTGAACCTTTCTTTTGAGAGAGCAGTTTTGAAACACTCTTTTTGTGGAATATGCAAGTGGGTATTAGGCCAGCTTGGAGGATTTCGTTGGAAACGGGAATACGTATAAAAAGCAGACAGCAGCATTGTCAGAAACTACTTTGTGATGTTTGCATTCAAGTCACAGAATTGAACACTCCCTGTCACAGAGCAGGTTTGAAACACTCTTTTTGTAGTGTCTGTAAGTGAACATTTGGATTGCTTTCAGGCCTAAGGTGAAAAAGGAAATATCTTCCCATAAAAACTAGACAGAAGCATTCTCAGAAACTTGTTTGTGATGTGTGCCCTCTACTGACAGAGTTGAACCTTTCTTTGCAAAGAGCAGTTTTGAAACACTCTTTTTGTAGAATCTGCAAGAGGATATTTGGATAGCTTTGAGGATTTCTTGGGAAACGGGAATGTCTTCAGATAAACTCTAGACAGAAGCATTCTCAGAAACTTCTTTGGGATATTTCAATTGAAGTCACAGTGTTGAACATTCCCTTTCACAGAGCAGGTTTGAAACACTCTTTTTGTAGTGTCTATAAGTGAACATTTGGCGTGCTTTCAGGCCTAAGGTGAAAAAGGAAATATCTTCCCATAAAAACTAGACAGAAGCATTCTCAGAAACTTGTTCGTGATGTGTGCCCTCTACTGACAGAGTTGAACCTTTCTTTGCAAAGAGCAGCTTTGAAACACTCTTTTTGTAGAATCTGCAAGAGGATATTTGGATAGCTTTGAGGATTTCGTTGGAAACGGGTATGTCTTCAGATAAACTCTAGACAGAAGCATTCTCAGAAACTTCTTTGGGATGTTGCATTCAAGTCACAGAGTAGAACATTCCCATTCATAGAGCAGATTTGAAACACTCTTTTTGTAGTATCTGGAAGTGGACATTTGGAGCGCTTTCAGGCCTATGTTGAAAAAGGAAATATCTTCCCATAAAAACTAGACGGAAGCATTCTCAGAAACTTACTTGTGATGTGTTTGCTCAACTAACAGAATTGAACCATCGTTTTGAAGGAGCAGTTTTGAAACACTGTTTTCGTGGAATCTGCAAGTGGATATTTGGCTAGCTTTGAGGATTTCGTTGGAAACGGGATTACATATAAAAAGGAGACAGCAGCATTCTCAGAAACTTCTTTGTGATGTCTGCATTCAAGTCACAGAGTTGAGCATTCCCTTTCATAGAGCAGGTTGGAAACACTCTTTTTGTAGTATCTGGATGAGGACATTTGGAGCGCTTTCAGGCGTATGGTGAAAAAGGAAATATCTTCCCGTAAAAACTAGACAGAAGCATTCTCAGAAGTTTATTTGAGATGTGTGCCCTCAACTAACAGAGTTGAACCTTTCTTTTGATAGAGCAGTTTTGAAACACTCTTTTTGTAAAATCTGCAAGAGGATATTTGGATAGCTTTGAGGATTTCGTTGCAAACGGGAATGGCTTCATATAAACTCTAGACAGAAGCATTCTCAGAAACTTCGTTGGGATGTTTTGATTGAAGTCCCAGTGTTGAACATTCCCTTTTATAGAGCAGGTTGGAAACACTCTTTCTGCATTCCCTGGAAGTGGACATTTGGAGCGCTTTCAGGACGACGGTGAAAATGGAAATATCTTCCAATAAAATCTAGATAGAAGCAATGTCAGAAACTTTTCTGTGATGGATCTACTCAGCTAACAGAGTTGAACCTTTCTTTTGAGAGAGCAGTTTTGCAACACTCTTTTTGTGGAATATGCAAGTGGATATTAGGGCAGCTTTGAGGATTTCGTTGGAAACGGGAATACATGTAAAAAGCAGACAGCAGCATTCTCAGAAACTTCTTTGTGATGTTTGCATTGAAGTCACAGAGTTGAACATTCCCTTTGAGAGAGCAGGTTTGAAACACGCCTTTTGTCATATCTGGAAGTGTCCATTCGGAGCGCATTCAGGCTTGTGTTGAAAAAGGAAATATCCTCCCATAAAAACTAGACAGAAGCATTCTCAGAAACTTATCTGTGATGTATGTACTCAACTAACAGAACTAAACCATCGTTTTGAAGGAGCAGTTTTGAAACACTCTTTTTGCGGAATCTGCAAGTGGATATTTGGCTAGCTGGGAGGATTTCGTTGGAAACGGGATTACATACAAAAAGCAGACAGCAGCATTCTCAGAAACTTCTTTGTGATGTTTGCATTCAAGTCACAGAGTTGAACATTCCCTTTCATAGAGCAGGTTTGAAACACTCTTTTTGTAGTATCTGGATGTGGACATTTGGATCGCTTTCAGGCCTATGGTGAAAAAGGAAATATCTTCCCATGAAAACTAGACAGAAGCATTCTCAGAAACTTATTTGTGATGTGTGCCCTCAACTGACAGTGTTGAACCTTTGTTTTGATAGAGCAGTTCTGAAACACACTTTTTGTAAAATCTGCAAGAGGATATTTGGATAGCTTTGAGGATTTCGTTGGAAACGGGAATGTCTTCATGTAAACTCTAGACAGAAGCATTCTCAGAAACTGCTTTGGGATGTTTCAATTGAAGTCCCAGTGTTGAACATTCCCTTTCATAGAGCAGGTTTGAAACACTCTTTTTGTACTATCTGGAAGTGGACATTTGGAGCGCTTTCTGGTCTACGGTGAAAAAGGAGATATCTTCCAATAAAAACTAGATAGAAGCAATGTCAGAACTTTTTTCATGATGTATCTACTCAGCAAACAGAGTTGAACCTTTCTTTTGAGAGAGCAGTTTTGAAACACTCTTTTTGTGGAATATGCAAGTGGGTATTAGGCCAGCTTGGAGGATTTCGTTGGAAACGGGAATACGTATAAAAAGCAGACAGCAGCATTGTCAGAAACTACTTTGTGATGTTTGCATTCAAGTCACAGAATTGAACACTCCCTTTCACAGAGCAGGTTTGAAACACTCTTTTTGTAGTGTCTGTAAGTGAACATTTGGATTGCTTTCAGGCCTAAGGTGAAAAAGGAAATATCTTCCCATAAAAACTAGACAGAAGCATTCTCAGAAACTTGTTTGTGATGTGTGCCCTCTACTGACAGAGTTGAACCTTTCTTTGCAAAGAGCAGTTTTGAAACACTCTTTTTGTAGAATCTGCAAGAGGATATTTGGATAGCTTTGAGGATTTCTTGGGAAACGGGAATGTCTTCAGATAAACTCTAGACAGAAGCATTCTCAGAAACTTCTTTGGGATGTTTCAATTGAAGTCACAGTGTTGAACATTCCCTTTCACAGAGCAGGTTTGAAACACTCTTTTTGTAGTGTCTATAAGTGAACATTTGGCGTGCTTTCAGGCCTAACGTGAAAAAGGAAATATCTTCCCATAAAAACTAGACAGAAGCATTCTCAGAAACTTGTTCGTGATGTGTGCCCTCTACTGACAGACTTGAACCTTTCTTTGCAAAGAGCAGCTTTGAAACATTCTTTTTGTAGAATCTGCCAGAGGATATTTGGATAGCTTTGAGGATTTCGTTGGAAACGGGTATGTCTTCAGATAAACTCTAGACAGAAGCATTCTCAGAAACTTCTTTGGGATGTTGCATTCAAGTCACAGAGTAGAACATTCCCATTCATAGAGCAGATTTGAAACACTCTTTTTGTAGTATCTGGAAGTGGACATTTGGAGCGCTTTCAGGCCTATGTTGAAAAAGGAAATATCTTCCCATAAAAACTAGACGGAAGCATTCTCAGAAACTTATTTGTGATGTGTTTGCTCAACTAACAGGATTGAACCATCGTTTTGAAGGAGCAGTTTTGAAACACTGTTTTCGTGGAATCTGCAAGTGGATATTTGGCTAGCTTTGAGGATTTCGTTGGAAACGGGATTACATATAAAAAGGAGACAGCAGCATTCTCAGAAACTTCTTTGTGATGTCTGCATTCAATTCACAGAGTTGAGCATTCCCTTTCATAGAGCAGGTTGGAAACACTCTTTTTGTAGTATCTGGATGAGGACATTTGGAGCGCTTTCAGGCGTATGGTGAAAAAGGAAATATCTTCCCGTAAAAACTAGACAGAAGCATTCTCAGAAGTTTATTTGTGATGTGTGCCCTCAACTAACAGACTTGAACCTTTCTTTTGATAGAGCAGTTTTGAAACACTCATTTTGTAAAATCTGCAAGAGGATATTTGGATAGCTTTGAGGATTTCGTTGCAAACGGGAATGGCTTCATATAAACTCTAGACAGAAGCATTCTCAGAAACTTCGTTGGGATGTTTCGATTGAAGTCCCAGTGTTGAACATTCCCTTTTATAGAGCAGGTTGGAAACACTCTTTCTGCATTCCCTGGAAGTGGACATTTGGAGCGCTTTCAGGACGACGGTGAAAATGGAAATATCTTCCAATAAAATCTAGATAGAAGCAACGTCAGAAACTTTTCTGTGATGGATCTACTCAGCTAACAGAGTTGAACCTTTCTTTTGAGAGAGCAGTTTTGCAACACTCTTTTTGTGGAATATGCAAGTGGATATTAGGGCAGCTTTGAGGATTTCGTTGGAAACGGGAATACATGTAAAAAGCAGACAGCAGCATTCTCAGAAACTTCTTTGTGATGTTTGCATTGAAGTCACAGAGTTGAACATTCCCTTTGAGAGAGCAGGTTTGAAACACGCCTTTTGTCATATCTGGAAGTGTCCATTCGGAGCGCATTCAGGCTTGTGTTGAAAAAGGAAATATCCTCCCATAAAAACTAGACAGAAGCATTCTCAGAAACTTATCTGTGATGTATGTACTCAACTAACAGAACTAAACCACCGTTTTGAAGGAGCAGTTTTGAAACACTCTTTTTGCGGAATCTGCAAGTGGATATTTGGCTAGCTGGGAGGATTTCGTTGGAAACGGGATTACATACAAAAAGCAGACAGCAGCATTCTCAGAAACTTCTTTGTGATGTTTGCATTCAAGTCACAGAGTTGAACATTCCCTTTCATAGAGCAGGTTTGAAACACTCTTTTTGTAGTATCTGGATGTGGACATTTGGATCGCTTTCAGGCCTATGGTGAAAAAGGAAATATCTTCCCATGAAAACTAGACAGAAGCATTCTCAGAAACTTATTTGTGATGTGTGCCCTCAACTGACAGTGTTGAACCTTTGTTTTGATAGAGCAGTTCTGAAACACACTTTTTGTAAAATCTGCAAGAGGATATTTGGATAGCTTTGAGGATTTCGTTGGAAACGGGAATGTCTTCATGTAAACTCTACACAGAAGCATTCTCAGAAACTGCTTTGGGATGTTTCAATTGAAGTCCCAGTGTTGAACATTCCCTTTCATAGGAGCAGGTTTGAAACACTCTTTTTGTACTATCTGGAAGTGGACATTTGGAGCGCTTTCAGGTCTACGGTGAAAAAGGAGATATCTTCCAATAAAAACTAGATAGAAGCAATGTCAGAACTTTTTTCATGATGTATCTACTCAGCACACAGAGTTGAACCTTTCTTTTGAGAGAGCAGTTTTGAAACACTCTTTTTGTGGAATATGCAAGTGGGTATTAGGCCAGCTTGGAGGATTTCGTTGGAAACGGGAATACGTATAAAAAGCAGACAGCAGCATTGTCAGAAACTACTTTGTGATGTTTGCATTCAAGTCACAGAATTGAACACTCCCTTTCACAGAGCAGGTTTGAAACACTCTTTTTGTAGTGTCTGTAAGTGAACATTTGGATTGCTTTCAGGCCTAAGGTGAAAAAGGAAATATCTTCCCATAAAAACTAGACAGAAGCATTCTCAGAAACTTGTTTGTGATGTGTGCCCTCTACTGACAGAGTTGAACCTTTCTTTGCAAAGACCAGTTTTGAAACACTCTTTTTGTAGAATCTGCAAGAGGATATTTGGATAGCTTTGAGGATTTCTTGGGAAACGGGAATGTCTTCAGATAAACTCTAGACAGAAGCATTCTCAGAAACTTCTTTGGGATGTTTCAATTGAAGTCACAGTGTTGAACATTCCCTTTCACAGAGCAGGTTTGAAACACTCTTTTTGTAGTGTCTATAAGTGAACATTTGGCGTACTTTCAGGCCTAACGTGAAAAAGGAAATATCTTCCCATAAAAACTAGATAGAAGCATTCTCAGAAACTTGTTCGTGATGTGTGCCCTCTACTGACAGAGTTGAACCTTTCTTTGCAAAGAGCAGCTTTGAAACACTCTTTCTGTAGAATCTGCAAGAGGATATTTGGATAGCTTGGAGGATTTCGTTGGAAACGGGTATGTCTTCAGATAAACTCTAGACAGAAGCATTCTCAGAAACTTCTTTGGGATGTTGCATTCAAGTCACAGAGTAGAACATTCCCATTCATAGAGCAGATTTGAAACACTCTTTTTGTAGTATCTGGAAGTGGACATTTGGAGCGCTTTCAGGCCTATGTTGAAAAAGGAAATATCTTCCCATAAAAACTAGACGGAAGCATTCTCAGAAACTTATTTGTGATGTGTTTGCTCAACTAACAGGATTGAACCATCGTTTTGAAGGAGCAGTTTTGAAACACTGTTTTCGTGGAATCTGCAAGTGGATATTTGGCTAGCTTTGAGGATTTCGTTGGAAACGGGATTACATATAAAAAGGAGACAGCAGCATTCTCAGAAACTTCTTTGTGATGTCTGCATTCAATTCACAGAGTTGAGCATTCCCTTTCATAGAGCAGGTTGGAAACACTCTTTTTGTAGTATCTGGATGAGGACATTTGGAGCGCTTTCAGGCGTATGGTGAAAAAGGAAATATCTTCCCGTAAAAACTAGACAGAAGCATTCTCAGAAGTTTATTTGTGATGTGTGCCCTCAACTAACAGAGTTGAACCTTTCTTTTGATAGAGCAGTTTTGAAACACTCTTTTTGTAAAATCTGCAAGAGGATATTTGGATAGCTTTGAGGATTTCGTTGCAAACGGGAATGGCTTCATATAAACTCTAGACAGAAGCATTCTCAGAAACTTCGTTGGGATGTTTCGATTGAAGTCCCAGTGTTGAACATTCCCTTTTATAGAGCAGGTTGGAAACACTCTTTCTGCATTCCCTGGAAGTGGACATTTGGAGCGCTTTCAGGACGACGGTGAAAATGGAAATATCTTCCAAGAAAATCTAGATAGAAGCAATGTCAGAAACTTTTATGTGATGGATCTACTCAGCTAACAGAGTTGAACCTTTCTTTTGAGAGAGCAGTTTTGCAACACTCTTTTTGTGGAATATGCAAGTGGATATTAGGGCAGCTTTGAGGATTTCGTTGGAAACGGGAATACATGTAAAAAGCAGACAGCAGCATTCTCAGAAACTTCTTTGTGATGTTTGCATTGAAGTCACAGAGTTGAACATTCCCTTTGAGAGAGCAGGTTTGAAACACGCCTTTTGTCATATCTGGAAGTGTCCATTCGGAGCGCATTCAGGCTTGTGTTGAAAAAGGAAATATCCTCCCATAAAAACTAGACAGAAGCATTCTCAGAAACTTATCTGTGATGTATGTACTCAACTAACAGAACTAAACCATCGTTTTGAAGGAGCAGTTTTGAAACACTCTTTTTGCGGAATCTGCAAGTGGATATTTGGCTAGCTGGGAGGATTTCGTTGGAAACGGGATTACATACAAAAAGCAGACAGCAGCATTCTCAGAAACTTCTTTGTGATGTTTGCATTCAAGTCACAGAGTTGAACATTCCCTTTCATAGAGCAGGTTTGAAACACTCTTTTTGTAGTATCTGGATGTGGACATTTGGATCGCTTTCAGGCCTATGGTGAAAAAGGAAATATCTTCCCATGAAAACTAGACAGAAGCATTCTCAGAAACTTATTTGTGATGTGTGCCCTCAACTGACAGTGTTGAACCTTTGTTTTGATAGAGCAGTTCTGAAACACACCTTTTGTAAAATCTGCAAGAGGATATTTGGATAGCTTTGAGGATTTCGTTGGAAACGGGAATGTCTTCATGTAAACTCTACACAGAAGCATTCTCAGAAACTGCTTTGGGATGTTTCAATTGAAGTCCCAGTGTTGAACATTCCCTTTCATAGAGCAGGTTTGAAACACTCTTTTTGTACTATCTGGAAGTGGACATTTGGAGCGCTTTCAGGTCTACGGTGAAAAAGGAGATATCTTCCAATAAAAACTAGATAGAAGCAATGTCAGAACTTTTTTCATGATGTATCTACTCAGCAAACAGAGTTGAACCTTTCTTTTGAGAGAGCAGTTTTGAAACACTCTTTTTGTGGAATATGCAAGTGGGTATTAGGCCAGCTTGGAGGATTTCGTTGGAAACGGGAATACGTATAAAAAGCAGACAGCAGCATTGTCAGAAACTACTTTGTGATGTTTGCATTCAAGTCACAGAATTGAACACTCCCTTTCACAGAGCAGGTTTGAAACACTCTTTTTGTAGTGTCTGTAAGTGAACATTTGGATTGCTTTCAGGCCTAAGGTGAAAAAGGAAATATCTTCCCATAAAAACTAGACAGAAGCATTCTCAGAAACTTGTTTGTGATGTGTGCCCTCTACTGACAGAGTTGAACCTTTCTTTGCAAAGAGCAGCTTTGAAACACTCTTTTTGTAGAATCTGCAAGAGGATATTTGGATAGCTTTGAGGATTTCTTGGGAAACGGGAATGTCTTCAGATAAACTCTAGACAGAAGCATTCTCAGAAACTTCTTTGGGATGTTTCAATTGAAGTCAGTGTTGAACATTCCCTTTCACAGAGCAGGTTTGAAACACTCTTTTTGTAGTGTCTATAAGTGAACATTTGGCGTGCTTTCAGGCCTAACGTGAAAAAGGAAATATCTTCCCATAAAAACTAGACAGAAGCATTCTCAGAAACTTGTTCTTGATGTGTCCCCTCTACTGACAGAGTTGAACCTTTCTTTGCAAAGAGCAGCTTTGAAACACTCTTTTTGTAGAATCTGCAAGAGGATATTTGGATAGCTTGGAGGATTTCGTTGGAAACGGGTATGTCTTCAGATAAACTCTAGACAGAAGCATTCTCAGAAACTTCTTTGGGATGTTGCATTCAAGTCACAGAGTAGAACATTCCCATTCATAGAGCAGATTTGAAACACTCTTTTTGTAGTATCTGGAAGTGGACATTTGGAGCGCTTTCAGGCCTATGTTGAAAAAGGAAATATCTTCCCATAAAAACTAGACGGAAGCATTCTCAGAAACTTATTTGTGATGTGTTTGCTCAACTAACAGGATTGAACCATCGTTTTGAAGGAGCAGTTTTGAAACACTGTTTTCGTGGAATCTGCAAGTGGATATTTGGTTAGCTTTGAGGATTTCGTTGGAAACGGGATTACATATAAAAAGGAGACAGCAGCATTCTCAGAAACTTCTTTGTGATGTCTGCATTCAATTCACAGAGTTGAGCATTCCCTTTCATAGAGCAGGTTGGAAACACTCTTTTTGTAGTATCTGGATGAGGACATTTGGAGCGCTTTCAGGCGTATGGTGAAAAAGGAAATATCTTCCCGTAAAAACTAGACAGAAGCATTCTCAGAAGTTTATTTGTGATGTGTGCCCTCAACTAACAGAGTTGAACCTTTCTTTTGATAGAGCAGTTTTGAAACACTCTTTTTGTAAAATCTGCAAGAGGATATTTGGATAGCTTTGAGGATTTCGTTGCAAACGGGAATGGCTTCATATAAACTCTAGACAGAAGCATTCTCAGAAACTTCGTTGGGATGTTTCGATTGAAGTCCCAGTGTTGAACATTCCCTTTTATAGAGCAGGTTGGAAACACTCTTTCTGCATTCCCTGGAAGTGGACATTTGGAGCGCTTTCAGGACGACGGTGAAAATGGAAATATCTTCCAAGAAAATCTAGATAGAAGCAACGTCAGAAACTTTTATGTGATGGATCTACTCAGCTAACAGAGTTGAACCTTTCTTTTGAGAGAGCAGTTTTGCAACACTCTTTTTGTGGAATATGCAAGTGGATATTAGGGCAGCTTTGAGGATTTCGTTGGAAACGGGAATACATGTAAAAAGCAGACAGCAGCATTCTCAGAAACTTCTTTGTGATGGTTGCATTCAAGTCACAGAGTTGAACATTCCCTTTGAGAGAGCAGGTTTGAAACACGCCTTTTGTCATATCTGGAAGTGTCCATTCGGAGCGCATTCAGGCTTGTGTTGAAAAAGGAAATATCCTCCCAGAAAAACTAGACAGAAGCATTCTCAGAAACTTATCTGTGATGTATGTACTCAACTAACAGAACTAAACCATCGTTTTGAAGGAGCAGTTTTGAAACACTCTTTTTGCGGAATCTGCAAGTGGATATTTGGCTAGCTGGGAGGATTTCGTTGGAAACGGGATTACATACAAAAAGCAGACAGCAGCATTCTCAGAAACTTCTTTGTGATGTTTGCATTCAAGTCACAGAGTTGAACATTCCCTTTCATAGAGCAGGTTTGAAACACTCTTTTTGTAGTATCTGGATGTGGACATTTGGATCGCTTTCAGGCCTATGGTGAAAAAGGAAATATCTTCCCATGAAAACTAGACAGAAGCATTCTCAGAAACTTATTTGTGATATGTGCCCTCAACTGACAGTGTTGAACCTTTGTTTTGATAGAGCAGTTCTGAAACACACTTTTTGTAAAATCTGCAAGAGGATATTTGGATAGCTTTGAGGATTTCGTTGGAAACGGGAATGTCTTCATGTAAACTCTACACAGAAGCATTCTCAGAAACTGCTTTGGGATGTTTCAATTGAAGTCCCAGTGTTGAACATTCCCATTCATAGAGCAGGTTTGAAACACTCTTTTTGTACTATCTGGAAGTGGACATTTGGAGCGCTTTCAGGTCTACGGTGAAAAAGGAGATATCTTCCAATAAAAACTAGATAGAAGCAATGTCAGAACTTTTTTCATGATGTATCTACTCAGCTAACAGAGTTGAACCTTTCTTTTGAGAGAGCAGTTTTGAAACACTCTTTTTGTGGAATATGCAAGTGGGTATTAGGCCAGCTTGGAGGATTTCGTTGGAAACGGGAATACGTATAAAAAGCAGACAGCAGCATTGTCAGAAACTACTTTGTGATGTTTGCATTCAAGTCACAGAATTGAACACTCCCTTTCACAGAGCAGGTTTGAAACACTCTTTTTGTAGTGTCTGTAAGTGAACATATGGATTGCTTTCAGGCCTAAGGTGAAAAAGGAAATATCTTCCCATAAAAACTAGACAGAAGCATTCTCAGAAACTTGTTTGTGATGTGTGCCCTCTACTGACAGAGTTGAACCTTTCTTTGCAAAGAGCAGCTTTGAAACACTCTTTTTGTAGAATCTGCAAGAGGATATGTGGATAGCTTTGAGGATTTCGTTGGAAACGGGTATGTCTTCAGATAAACTCTAGACAGAAGCATTCTCAGAAACTTCTTTGGGATGTTTCAATTGAAGTCACAGTGTTGAACATTCCCTTTCACAGAGCAGGTTTGAAACACTCTTTTTGTAGTGTCTATAAGTGAACATTTGGCGTGCTTTCAGGCCTAACGTGAAAAAGGAAATGTCTTCCCATAAAAACTAGACAGAAGCATTCTCAGAAACTTGTTCATGATGTGTGCCCTCTACTGACAGAGTTGAACCTTTCTTTGCAAAGAGCAGCTTTGAAACACTCTTTTTGTAGAATCTGCAAGAGGATATTTGGATAGCTTTGAGGATTTCGTTGGAAACGGGTATGTCTTCAGATAAACTCTAGACAGAAGCATTCTCAGAAACTTCTTTGGGATGTTGCATTCAAGTCACAGAGTAGAACATTCCCATTCATAGAGCAGATTTGAAACACTCTTTTTGTAGTATCTGGAAGTGGACATTTGGAGCGCTTTCAGGCCTATGTTGAAAAAGGAAATATCTTCCCATAAAAACTAGACGGAAGCATTCTCAGAAACTTACTTGTGATGTGTTTGCTCAACTAACAGAATTGAACCATCGTTTTGAAGGAGCAGTTTTGAAACACTGTTTTCGTGGAATCTGCAAGTGGATATTTGGCTAGCTTTGAGGATTTCGTTGGAAACGGGATTACATATAAAAAGGAGACAGCAGCATTCTCAGAAACTTCTTTGTGATGTCTGCATTCAAGTCACAGACTTGAGCATTCCCTTTCATAGAGCAGGTTGGAAACACTCTTTTTGTAGTATCTGGATGAGGACATTTGGAGCGCTTTCAGGCGTATGGTGAAAAAGGAAATATCTTCCCGTAAAAACTAGACAGAAGCATTCTCAGAAATTTATTTGTGATGTGTGCCCTCAACTAACAGAGTTGAACCTTTCTTTTGATAGAGCAGTTTTGAAACACTCTTTTTGTAAAATCTGCAAGAGGATATTTGGATAGCTTTGAGGATTTCATTGCAAACGGGAATGGCTTCATATAAACTCTAGACAGAAGCATTCTCAGAAACTTCGTTGGGATGTTTCGATTGAAGTCCCAGTGTTGAACATTCCCTTTTATAGAGCAGGTTGGAAACACTCTTTCTGCATTTCCTGGAAGTGGACATTTGGAGCGCTTTCAGGACGACGGTGAAAATGGAAATATCTTCCAAGAAAATCTAGATAGAAGCAACGTCAGAAACTTTTATGTGATGGATCTACTCAGCTAACAGAGTTGAACCTTTCTTTTGAGAGAGCAGTTTTGCAACACTCTTTTTGTGGAATATGCAAGTGGATATTAGGGCAGCTTTGAGGATTTCGTTGGAAACGGGAATACATGTAAAAAGCAGACAGCAGCATTCTCAGAAACTTCTTTGTGATGTTTGCATTGAAGTCACAGAGTTGAACATTCCCTTTGAGAGAGCAGGTTTGAAACACGCCTTTTGTCATATCTGGAAGTGTCCATTCGGAGCGCATTCAGGCTTGTGTTGAAAAAGGAAATATCCTCCCATAAAAACTAGACAGAAGCATTCTCAGAAACTTATCTGTGATGTATGTACTCAACTAACAGAACTAAACCATCGTTTTGAAGGAGCAGTTTTGAAACACTCTTTTTGCGGAATCTGCAAGTGGATATTTGGCTAGCTGGGAGGATTTCGTTGGAAACGGGATTACATACAAAAAGCAGACAGCAGCATTCTCAGAAACTTCTTTGTGATGTTTGCATTCAAGTCACAGAGTTGAACATTCCCTTTCATAGAGCAGGTTTGAAACACTCTTTTTGTAGTAACTGGATGTGGACATTTGGATCGCTTTCAGGCCTATGGTGAAAAAGGAAATATCTTCCCATGAAAACTAGACAGAAGCATTCTCAGAAACTTATTTGTGATGTGTGCCCTCAACTGACAGTGTTGAACCTTTGTTTTGATAGAGCAGTTCTGAAACACACTTTTTGTAAAATCTGCAAGAGGATATTTGGATAGCTTTGAGGATTTCGTTGGAAACGGGAATGTCTTCATGTAAACTCTAGACAGAAGCATTCTCAGAAACTGCTTTGGGATGTTTCAATTGAAGTCCCAGTGTTGAACATTCCCTTTCATAGAGCAGGTTTGAAACACTCTTTTTGTACTATCTGGAAGTGGACATTTGGAGCGCTTTCAGGTCTACGGTGAAAAAGGAGATATCTTCCAATAAAAACTAGATAGAAGCAATGTCAGAACTTTTTTCATGATGTATCTACTCAGCAAACAGAGTTGAACCTTTCTTTTGAGAGAGCAGTTTTGAAACACTCTTTTTGTGGAATATGCAAGTGGGTATTAGGCCAGCTTGGAGGATTTCGTTGGAAACGGGAATACGTATAAAAAGCAGACAGCAGCATTGTCAGAAACTACTTTGTGATGTTTGCATTCAAGTCACAGAATTGAACACTCCCTTTCACAGAGCAGGTTTGAAACACTCTTTTTGTAGTGTCTGTAAGTGAACATATGGATTGCTTTCAGGCCTAAGGTGAAAAAGGAAATATCTTCCCATAAAAACTAGACAGAAAGCATTCTCAGAAACTTGTTTGTGATGTGTGCCCTCTACTGACAGAGTTGAACCTTTCTTTGCAAAGAGCAGTTTTGAAACACTCTTTTTGTAGAATCTGCAAGAGGATATTTGGATAGCTTTGAGGATTTCTTGGGAAACGGGAATGTCTTCAGATAAACTCTAGACAGAAGCATTCTCAGAAACTTCTTTGGGATGTTTCAATTGAAGTCACAGTGTTGAACATTCCCTTTCACAGAGCAGGTTTGAAACACTCTTTTTGTAGTGTCTATAAGTGAACATTTGGCGTGCTTTCAGGCCTAACGTGAAAAAGGAAATATCTTCCCATAAAAACTAGACAGAAGCATTCTCAGAAACTTGTTCTTGATGTGTCCCCTCTACTGACAGAATTGAACCTTTCTTTGCAAAGAGCAGCTTTGAAACACTCTTTTTGTAGAATCTGCAAGAGGATATTTGGATAGCTTGGAGGATTTCGTTGGAAACGGGTATGTCTTCAGATAAACTCTAGACAGAAGCATTCTCAGAAACTTCTTTGGGATGTTGCATTCAAGTCACAGAGTAGAACATTCCCATTCATAGAGCAGATTTGAAACACTCTTTTTGTAGTATCTGGAAGTGGACATTTGGAGCGCTTTCAGGCCTATGTTGAAAAAGGAAATATCTTCCCATAAAAACTAGACGGAAGCATTCTCAGAAACTTATTTGTGATGTGTTTGCTCAACTAACAGGATTGAACCATCGTTTTGAAGGAGCAGTTTTGAAACACTGTTTTCGTGGAATCTGCAAGTGGATATTTGGCTAGCTTTGAGGATTTCGTTGGAAACGGGATTACATATAAAAAGGAGACAGCAGCATTCTCAGAAACTTCTTTGTGATGTCTGCATTCAATTCACAGAGTTGAGCATTCCCTTTCATAGAGCAGGTTGGAAACACTCTTTTTGTAGTATCTGGATGAGGACATTTGGAGCGCTTTCAGGCCTATGGTGAAAAAGGAAATATCTTCCCGTAAAAACTAGACAGAAGCATTCTCAGAAGTTTATTTGTGATGTGTGCCCTCAACTAACAGAGTTGAACCTTTCTTTTGATAGAGCAGTTTTGAAACACTCTTTTTGTAAAATCTGCAAGAGGATATTTGGATAGCTTTGAGGATTTCGTTGCAAACGGGAATGGCTTCATATAAACTCTAGACAGAAGCATTCTCAGAAACTTCGTTGGGATGTTTCGATTGAAGTCCCAGTGTTGAACATTCCCTTTTATAGAGCAGGTTGGAAACACTCTTTCTGCATTCCCTGGAAGTGGACATTTGGAGCGCTTTCAGGACGACGGTGAAAATGGAAATATCTTCCAAGAAAATCTAGATAGAAGCAATGTCAGAAACTTTTATGTGATGGATCTACTCAGCTAACAGAGTTGAACCTTTCTTTTGAGAGAGCAGTTTTGCAACACTCTTTTTGTGGAATATGCAAGTGGATATTAGGGCAGCTTTGAGGATTTCGTTGGAAACGGGAATACATGTAAAAAGCAGACAGCAGCATTCTCAGAAACTTCTTTGTGATGTTTGCATTGAAGTCACAGAGTTGAACATTCCCTTTGAGAGAGCAGGTTTGAAACACGCCTTTTGTCATATCTGGAAGTGTCCATTCGGAGCGCATTCAGGCTTGTGTTGAAAAAGGAAATATCCTCCCATAAAAACTAGACAGAAGCATTCTCAGAAACTTATCTGTGATGTATGTACTCAACTAACAGAACTAAACCATCGTTTTGAAGGAGCAGTTTTGAAACACTCTTTTTGCGGAATCTGCAAGTGGATATTTGGCTAGCTGGGAGGATTTCGTTGGAAACGGGATTACATACAAAAAGCAGACAGCAGCATTCTCAGAAACTTCTTTGTGATGTTTGCTTTCAAGTCACAGAGTTGAGCATTCCCTTTCATAGAGCAGGTTGGAAACACTCTTTTTGTAGTATCTGGATGTGGACATTTGGATCGCTTTCAGGCCTATGGTGAAAAAGGAAATATCTTCCCATGAAAACTAGACAGAAGCATTCTCAGAAACTTATTTGTGATGTGTGCCCTCAACTGACAGTGTTGAACCTTTGTTTTGATAGAGCAGTTCTGAAACACACTTTTTGTAAAATCTGCAAGAGGATATTTGGATAGCTTTGAGGATTTCGTTGGAAACGGGAATGTCTTCATGTAAACTCTAGACAGAAGCATTCTCAGAAACTGCTTTGGGATGTTTCAATTGAAGTCCCAGTGTTGAACATTCCCTTTCATAGAGCAGGTTTGAAACACTCCTTTTGTACTATCTGGAAGTGGACATTTGGAGCGCTTTCAGGTCTACGGTGAAAAAGGAGATATCTTCCAATAAAAACTAGATAGAAGCAATGTCAGAACTTTTTTCATGATGTATCTACTCAGCAAACAGAGTTGAACCTTTCTTTTGAGAGAGCAGTTTTGAAACACTCTTTTTGTGGAATATGCAAGTGGGTATTAGGCCAGCTTGGAGGATTTCGTTGGAAACGGGAATACGTATAAAAAGCAGACAGCAGCATTGTCAGAAACTACTTTGTGATGTTTGCATTCAAGTCACAGAATTGAACACTCCCTTTCACAGAGCAGGTTTGAAACACTCTTTTTGTAGTGTCTGTAAGTGAACATATGGATTGCTTTCAGGCCTAAGGTGAAAAAGGAAATATCTTCCCATAAAAACTAGACAGAAGCATTCTCAGAAACTTGTTTGTGATGTGTGCCCTCTACTGACAGAGTTGAACCTTTCTTTGCAAAGAGCAGTTTTGAAACACTCTTTTTGTAGAATCTGCAAGAGGATATTTGGATAGCTTTGAGGATTTCTTGGGAAACGGGAATGTCTTCAGATAAACTCTAGACAGAAGCATTCTCAGAAACTTCTTTGGGATGTTTCAATTGAAGTCACAGTGTTGAACATTCCCTTTCACAGAGCAGGTTTGAAACACTCTTTTTGTAGTGTCTATAAGTGAACATTTGGCGTGCTTTCAGGCGTAACGTGAAAAAGGAAATATCTTCCCATAAAAACTAGACAGAAGCATTCTCAGAAACTTGTTCGTGATGTGTGCCCTCTACTGACAGAGTTGAACCTTTCTTTGCAAAGAGCAGCTTTGAAACACACTTTTTGTAGAATCTGCAAGAGGATATTTGGATAGCTTTGAGGATTTCGTTGGAAACGGGTATGTCTTCAGATAAACTCTAGACAGAAGCATTCTCAGAAACTTCTTTGGGATGTTGCATTCAAGTCACAGAGTAGAACATTCCCATTCATAGAGCAGATTTGAAACACTCTTTTTGTAGTATCTGGAAGTGGACATTTGGAGCGCTTTCAGGCCTATGTTGAAAAAGGAAATATCTTCCCATAAAAACTAGACGGAAGCATTCTCAGAAACTTATTTGTGATGTGTTTGCTCAACTAACAGGATTGAACCATCGTTTTGAAGGAGCAGTTTTGAAACAATGTTTTCGTAGAATCTGCAAGTGGATATTTGGCTAGTTTGAGGATTTGGTTGGAAACGGGATTACATATAAAAAGGAGACAGCAGCATTCTCAGAAACTTCTTTGTGATGTCTGCATTCAAGTCACAGAGTTGAGCATTCCCTTTCATAGAGCAGGTTGGAAACACTCTTTTTGTAGTATCTGGATGAGGACATTTGGAGCGCTTTCAGGCGTATGGTGAAAAAGGAAATATCTTCCCGTAAAAACTAGACAGAAGCATTCTCAGAAATTTATTTGTGATGTGTGCCCTCAACTAACAGAGTTGAACCTTTCTTTTGATAGAGCAGTTTTGAAACACTCTTTTTGTAAAATCTGCAAGAGGATATTTGGATAGCTTTGAGGATTTCGTTGCAAACGGGAATGGCTTCATATAAACTCTAGACAGAAGCATTCTCAGAAACTTCGTTGGGATGTTTCGATTGAAGTCCCAGTGTTGAACATTCCCTTTTATAGAGCAGGTTGGAAACACTCTTTCTGCATTCCCTGGAAGTGGACATTTGGAGCGCTTTCAGGACGACGGTGAAAATGGAAATATCTTCCAAGAAAATCTAGATAGAAGCAACGTCAGAAACTTTTCTGTGATGGATCTACTCAGCTAACAGAGTTGAACCTTTCTTTTGAGAGAGCAGTTTTGCAACACTCTTTTTGTGGAATATGCAAGTGGATATTAGGGCAGCTTTGAGGATTTCGTTGGAAACGGGAATACATGTAAAAAGCAGACAGCAGCATTCTCAGAAACTTCTTTGTGATGTTTGCATTGAAGTCACAGAGTTGAACATTCCCTTTGAGAGAGCAGGTTTGAAACACACCTTTTGTCATATCTGGAAGTGTCCATTCGGAGCGCATTCAGGCTTGTGTTGAAAAAGGAAATATCCTCCCATAAAAACTAGACAGAAGCATTCTCAGAAACTTATCTGTGATGTATGTACTCAACTAACAGAACTAAACCATCGTTTTGAAGGGCAGTTTTGAAACACTCTTTTTGCGGAATCTGCAAGTGGATATTTGGCTAGCTGGGAGGATTTCGTTGGAAACGGGATTACATACAAAAAGCAGACAGCAGCATTCTCAGAAACTTCTTTGTGATGTTTGCATTCAAGTCACAGAGTTGAACATTCCCTTTCATAGAGCAGGTTTGAAACACTCTTTTTGTAGTATCTGGATGTGGACATTTGGATCGCTTTCAGGCCTATGGTGAAAAAGGAAATATCTTCCCATGAAAACTAGACAGAAGCATTCTCAGAAACTTATTTGTGATGTGTGCCCTCAACTGACAGTGTTGAACCTTTGTTTTGATAGAGCAGTTCTGAAACACACTTTTTGTAAAATCTGCAAGAGGATATTTGGATAGCTTTGAGGATTTCGTTGGAAACGGGAATGTCTTCATGTAAACTCTACACAGAAGCATTCTCAGAAACTGCTTTGGGATGTTTCAATTGAAGTCCCAGTGTTGAACATTCCCATTCATAGAGCAGGTTTGAAACACTCTTTTTGTACTATCTGGAAGTGGACATTTGGAGCGCTTTCAGGTCTACGGTGAAAAAGGAGATATCTTCCAATAAAAACTAGATAGAAGCAATGTCAGAACTTTTTTCATGATGTATCTACTCAGCAAACAGAGTTGAACCTTTCTTTTGAGAGAGCAGTTTTGAAACACTCTTTTTGTGGAATATGCAAGTGGGTATTAGGCCAGCTTGGAGGATTTCGTTGGAAACGGGAATACGTATAAAAAGCAGACAGCAGCATTGTCAGAAACTACTTTGTGATGTTTGCATTCAAGTCACAGAATTGAACACTCCCTTTCACAGAGCAGGTTTGAAACACTCTTTTTGTAGTGTCTGTAAGTGAACATTTGGATTGCTTTCAGGCCTAAGGTGAAAAAGGAAATATCTTCCCATAAAAACTAGACAGAAGCATTCTCAGAAACTTGTTTGTGATGTGTGCCCTCTACTGACAGAGTTGAACCTTTCTTTGCAAAGAGCAGTTTGGAAACACTCTTTTTGTAGAATCTGCAAGAGGATATTTGGATAGCTTTGAGGATTTCTTGGGAAACGGGAATGTCTTCAGATAAACTCTAGACAGAAGCATTCTCAGAAACTTCTTTGGGATGTTTCAATTGAAGTCACAGTGTTGAACATTCCCTTTCACAGAGCAGGTTTGAAACAGTCTTTTTGTAGTGTCTATAAGTGAACATTTGGCGTGCTTTCAGGCCTAACGTGAAAAAGGAAATCTCTTCCCATAAAAACTAGACAGAAGCATTCTCAGAAACTTGTTTGTGATGTGTGCCCTCTACTGACAGAGTTGAACCTTTCTTTGCAAAGAGCAGCTTTGAAACACTCTTTTTGTAGAATCTGCAAGAGGATATTTGGATAGCTTTGAGGATTTCGTTGGAAACGGGTATGTCTTCAGATAAACTCTAGACAGAAGCATTCTCAGAAACTTCTTTGGGATGTTGCATTCAAGTCACAGAGTAGAACATTCCCATTCATAGAGCAGATTTGAAACACTCTTTTGTAGTATCTGGAAGTGGACATTTGGAACGCTTTCAGGCCTATGTTGAAAAAGGATATATCTTCCCATAAAAACTAGACGGAAGCATTCTCAGAAACTTACTTGTGATGTGTTTGCTCAACTAACAGAATTGAACCATCGTTTTGAAGGAGCAGTTTTGAAACACTGTTTTCGTGGAATCTGCAAGTGGATATTTGGCTAGCTTTGAGGATTTCGTTGGAAACGGGATTACATATAAAAAGGAGACAGCAGCATTCTCAGAAACTTCTTTGTGATGTCTGCATTCAAGTCACAGAGTTGAGCATTCCCTTTCATAGAGCAGGTTGGAAACACTCTTTTTGTAGTATCTGGATGAGGACATTTGGAGCGCTTTCAGGCGTATGGTGAAAAAGGAAATATCTTCCCGTAAAAACTAGACAGAAGCATTCTCAGAAATTTATTTGTGATGTGTGCCCTCAACTAACAGAGTTGAACCTTTCTTTTGATAGAGCAGTTTTGAAACACTCTTTTTGTAAAATCTGCAAGAGGATATTTGGATAGCTTTGAGGATTTCGTTGCAAACGGGAATGGCTTCATATAAACTCTAGACAGAAGCATTCTCAGAAACTTCGTTGGGATGTTTCGATTGAAGTCCCAGTGTTGAACATTCCCTTTTATAGAGCAGGTTGGAAACACTCTTTCTGCATTCCCTGGAAGTGGACATTTGGAGCGCTTTCAGGACGACGGTGAAAATGGAAATATCTTCCAAGAAAATCTAGATAGACGCAACGTCAGAAACTTTTCTGTGATGGATCTACTCAGCTAACAGAGTTGAACCTTTCTTTTGAGAGAGCAGTTTTGCAACACTCTTTTTGTGGAATATGCAAGTGGATATTAGGGCAGCTTTGAGGATTTCGTTGGAAACGGGAATACATGTAAAAAGCAGACAGCAGCATTCTCAGAAACTTCTTTGTGATGTTTGCATTGAAGTCACAGAGTTGAACATTCCCTTTGAGAGAGCAGGTTTGAAACACGCCTTTTGTCATATCTGGAAGTGTCCATTCGGAGCGCATTCAGGCTTGTGTTGAAAAAGGAAATATCCTCCCATAAAAACTAGACAGAAGCATTCTCAGAAACTTATCTGTGATGTATGTACTCAACTAACAGAACTAAACCATCGTTTTGAAGGAGCAGTTTTGAAACACTCTTTTTGCGGAATCTGCAAGTGGATATTTGGCTAGCTGGGAGGATTTCGTTGGAAACGGGATTACATACAAAAAGCAGACAGCAGCATTCTCAGAAACTTCTTTGTGATGTTTGCATTCAAGTCACAGAGTTGAACATTCCCTTTCATAGAGCAGGTTTGAAACACTCTTTTTGTAGTATCTGGATGTGGACATTTGGATCGCTTTCAGGCCTATGGTGAAAAAGGAAATATCTTCCCATGAAAACTAGACAGAAGCATTCTCAGAAACTTATTTGTGATGTGTGCCCTCAACTGACAGTGTTGAACCTTTGTTTTGATAGAGCACTTCTGAAACACACTTTTTGTAAAATCTGCAAGAGGATATTTGGATAGCTTTGAGGATTTCTTTGGAAACGGGAATGTCTTCATGTAAACTCTACACAGAAGCATTCTCAGAAACAGCTTTGGGATGTTTCAATTGAAGTCCCAGTGTTGAACATTCCCTTTCATAGAGCAGGTTTGAAACACTCTTTTTGTACTATCTGGAAGTGGACATTTGGAGCGCTTTCAGGTCTACGGTGAAAAAGGAGATATCTTCCAATAAAAACTAGATAGAAGCAATGTCAGAACTTTTTTCATGATGTATCTACTCAGCAAACAGAGTTGAACCTTACTTTTGAGAGAGCAGTTTTGAAACACTCTTTTTGTGGAATATGCAAGTGGGTATTAGGCCAGCTTGGAGGATTTCGTTGGAAACGGGAATACGTATAAAAAGCAGACAGCAGCGTTGTCAGAAACTTCTTTGTGATGTTTGCATTCAAGTCACAGAATTCAACATTCCCTTTCACAGAGCAGATTTGAAACACTCTTTTTGTAGTGTCTGTAAGTGAACATTTGGATTGCTTTCAGGGCTAAGGTGAAAAAGGAAATATCTTCCCATAAAAACTTGACAGAAGCATTCTCAGAAACTCTTTTGTGATGTGTGCCCTCTACTGACGGAGTTGAACCTTTCTTTGCAATGAGCAGTTTTGAAACCATCTTTTTGTAGAATCTGCAAGAGGATATTTGGATAGCTTTGAGTATTTCTTGGGAAACGGGAATGTCTTCAGATAAACTCTAGACAGCAGCATTCTCAGAAACTTCTTTGGGATGTTTCAATTGAAGTCACAGTGTTGAACATTCCCTTTCACAGAGCAGGTTTGAAACACTCTTTTTGTAGTGTCTATAAGTGAACATTTGGCGTGCTTTCAGGCCTAACGTGAAAAAGGAAATCTCTTCCCATAAAAACTAGACAGAAGCATTCTCAGAAACTTGTTTGTGATGTGTGCCCTCTACTGACAGAGTTGAACCTTTCTTTGCAAAGAGCAGCTTTGAAACACTCTTTTTGTAGAATCTGCAAGAGGATATTTGGATAGCTTTGAGGATTTCGTTGGAAACGGGTATGTTTTCAGATAAACTCTAGACAGAAGCATTCTCAGAAACTTCTTTGGGATGTTGCATTCAAGTCACAGAGTAGAACATTCCCATTCATAGAGCAGATTTGAAACACTCTTTGTGTAGTATCTGGAAGTGGACATTTGGAGCGCTTTCAGGCCTATGTTGAAAAAGGAAATATCTTCCCATAAAAACAAGACGGAAGCATTCTCAGAAACTTATTTCTGATGTGTTTGCTCAACTAACAGAATTGAACCATCGTTTTGAAGGAGCAGTTTTGAAACACTGTTTTCGTGGAATCTGCAAGTGGATATTTGGCTAGCTTTGAGGATTTCGTTGGAAACGGGATTACCTATAAAAAGGAGACAGCAGCATTCTCAGAAACTTCTTTGTGATGTCTGCATTCAAGTCACAGAGTTGAGCATTCCCTTTCATAGAGCAGGTTGGAAACACTCTTTTTGTAGTATCTGGATGAGGACATTTGGAGCGCTTTCAGGCGTATGGTGAAAAAGGAAATATCTTCCCGTAAAAACTAGACAGAAGCATTCTCAGAAGTTTATTTGTGATGTGTGCCCTCAACTAACAGAGTTGAAACTTTCTTTTGATAGAGCAGTTTTGAAACACTCATTTTGTAAAATCTGCAAGAGGATATTTGGATAGCTTTGAGGATTTCGTTGCAAACGGGAATGGCTTCATATAAACTCTAGACAGAAGCATTCTCAGAAACTTCGTCGGGATGTTTCGATTGAAGTCCCAGTGTTGAACATTCCCTTTTATAGAGCAGGTTGGAAACACTCTTTCTGCATTCCCTGGAAGTGGACAATTGGAGCGCTTTCAGGACGACGGTGAAAATGGAAATATCTTCCAATAAAATCTGGATAGAAGCAATGTCAGAAACTATTCTGTGATGGATCTACTCAGCTAACAGAGTTGAACCTTTCTTTTGAGAGAGCAGTTTTGCAACACTCTTTTTGTGGAATATGCAAGTGGATATTAGGGCAGCTTTGAGGATTTCGTTGGAAACGGGAATACATGTAAAAAGCAGACAGCAGCATTCTCAGAAACTTCTTTGTGATGTTTGCATTGAAGTCACAGAGTTGAACATTCCCTTTGAGAGAGCAGGTTTGAAACACGCCTTTTGTCATATCTGGAAGTGTCCATTCGGAGCGCATTCAGGCTTGTGTTGAAAAAGAAAATATCCTCCCATAAAAACTAGACAGAAGCATTCTCAGAAACTTATCTGTGATGTATGTACTCAACTAACCGAACTAAACCATCGTTTTGAAGGAGCAGTTTTGAAACACTCTTTTTGCGGAATCTGCAAGTGGATATTTGGCTAGCTGGGAGGATTTCGTTGGAAACGGGATTACATACAAAAAGCAGACAGCAGCATTCTCAGAAACTTCTTTGTGATGTTTGCATTCAAGTCACAGAGTTGAACATTCCCTTTCATAGAGTAGGTTTGAAACACTCTTTTTGTAGTATCTGGATGTGGACATTTGGATCGCTTTCAGGCCTATGGTGAAAAAGGAAATATCTTCCCATGAAAACTAGACAGAAGCATTCTCAGAAACTTGTTTGTGATGTGTGCCCTCAACTGACAGTGTTGAACCTTTGTTTTGATAGAGCAGTTCTGAAACACACTTTTTGTAAAATCTGCAAGAGGATATTTGGATAGCTTTGAGGATTTCGTTGGAAACGGAAATGTCTTCATGTAAACTCTACACAGAAGCATTCTCAGAAACTGCTTTGGGATGTTTCAATTGAAGTCCCAGTGTTGAACATTCCCATTCATAGAGCAGGTTTGAAACACTCTTTTTGTACTATCTGGAAGTGGACATTTGGAGCGCTTTCAGGTCTACGGTGAAAAAGGAGATATCTTCCAATAAAAACTAGATAGAAGCAATGTCAGAACTTTTTTCATGATGTATCTACTCAGCAAACAGAGTTGAACCTTTCTTTTGAGAGAGCAGTTTTGAAACACTCTTTTTGTGGAATATGCAAGTGGGTATTAGGCCAGCTTGGAGGATTTCGTTGGAAACGGGAATACGTATAAAAAGCAGACAGCAGCATTGTCAGAAACTACTTTGTGATGTTTGCATTCAAGTCACAGAATTGAACACTCCCTTTCACAGAGCAGGTTTGAAACACTCTTTTTGTAGTGTCTGTAAGTGAACATATGGATTGCTTTCAGGCCTAAGGTGAAAAAGGAAATATCTTCCCATAAAAACTAGACAGAAGCATTCTCAGAAACTTGTTTGTGATGTGTGCCCTCTACTGACAGAGTTGAACCTTTCTTTGCAAAGAGCAGTTTTGAAACACTCTTTTTGTAGAATCTGCAAGAGGATATTTGGATAGCTTTGAGGATTTCTTGGGAAACGGGAATGTCTTCAGATAAACTCTAGACAGAAGCATTCTCAGAAACTTCTTTGGGATGTTTCAATTGAAGTCACAGTGTTGAACATTCCCTTTCACAGAGCAGGTTTGAAACACTCTTTTTGTAGTGTCTATAAGTGAACATTTGGCGTGCTTTCAGGCCTAACGTGAAAAAGGAAATATCTTCCCATAAAAACTAGACAGAAGCATTCTCAGAAACTTGTTCGTGATGTGTGCCCTCTACTGACAGAGTTGAACCTTTCTTTGCAAAGAGCAGCTTTGAAACACACTTTTTGTAGAATCTGCAAGAGGATATTTGGATAGTGTTTGAGGATTTCGTTGGAAACGGGTATGTCTTCAGATAAACTCTAGACAGAAGCATTCTCAGAAACTTCTTTGGGATGTTGCATTCAAGTCACAGAGTAGAACATTCCCATTCATAGAGCAGATTTGAAACACTCTTTTTGTAGTATCTGGAAGTGGACATTTGGAGCGCTTTCAGGCCTATGTTGAAAAAGGAAATATCTTCCCATAAAAACTAGACGGAGGCATTCTCAGAAACTTATTTGTGATGTGTTTGCTCAACTAACAGGATTGAACCATCGTTTTGAAGGAGCAGTTTTGAAACACTGTTTTCGTGGAATCTGCAAGTGGATATTTGGCTAGCCTTGAGGATTTCATTGGAAACGGGATTACATATAAAAAGGAGACAGCAGCATTCTCAGAAACTTCTTTGTGATGTCTGCATTCAATTCACAGAGTTCAGCATTCCCTTTCATAGAGCAGGTTGGAAACACTCTTTTTGTAGTATCTGGATGAGGACATTTGGAGCGCTTTCAGGCCTATGGTGAAAAAGGAAATATCTTCCCGTAAAAACTAGACAGAAGCATTCTCAGAAATTTATTTGTGATGTGTGCCCTCAACTAACAGAGTTGAACCTTTCTTTTGATAGAGCAGTTTTGAAACACTCTTTTTGTAAAATCTGCAAGAGGATATTTGGATAGCTTTGAGGATTTCGTTGCAAACGGGAATGGCTTCATATAAACTCTAGACAGAAGCATTCTCAGAAACTTCGTTGGGATGTTTCGATTGAAGTCCCAGTGTTGAACATTCCCTTTTATAGAGCAGGTTGGAAACACTCTTTCTGCATTCCCTGGAAGTGGACATTTGGAGCGCTTTCAGGACGACGGTGAAAATGGAAATATCTTCCAAGAAAATCTAGATAGAAGCAATGTCAGAAACTTTTATGTGATGGATCTACTCAGCTAACAGAGTTGAACCTTTCTTTTGAGAGAGCAGTTTTGCAACACTCTTTTTGTGGAATATGCAAGTGGATATTAGGGCAGCTTTGAGGATTTCGTTGGAAACGGGAATACATGTAAAAAGCAGACAGCAGCATTCTCAGAAACTTCTTTGTGATGTTTGCATTGAAGTCACAGAGTTGAACATTCCCTTTGAGAGAGCAGGTTTGAAACACGCCTTTTGTCATATCTGGAAGTGTCCATTCGGAGCGCATTCAGGCTTGTGTTGAAAAAGGAAATATCCTCCCATAAAAACTAGACAGAAGCATTCTCAGCAAACTTATCTGTGATGTATGTACTCAACTAACAGAACTAAACCATCGTTTTGAAGGAGCAGTTTTGAAACACTCTTTTTGCGGAATCTGCAAGTGGATATTTGGCTAGCTGGGAGGATTTCGTTGGAAACGGGATTACATACAAAAAGCAGAGAGCAGCATTCTCAGAAACTTCTTTGTGATGTTTGCATTCAAGTCACAGAGTTGAACATTCCCTTTCATAGAGCAGGTTTGAAACACTCTTTTTGTAGTATCTGGATGTGGACATTTGGATCGCTTTCAGGCCTATGGTGAAAAAGGAAATATCTTCCCATGAAAACTAGACAGAAGCATTCTCAGAAACTTATTTGTGATGTGTGCCCTCAACTGACAGTGTTGAACCTTTGTTTTGATAGAGCAGTTCTGAAACACACTTTTTGTAAAATCTGCAAGAGGATATTTGGATAGCTTTGAGGATTTCGTTGGAAACGGGAATGTCTTCATGTAAACTCTAGACAGAAGCATTCTCAGAAACTGCTTTGGGATGTTTCAATTGAAGTCCCAGTGTTGAACATTCCCTTTCATAGAGCAGGTTTGAAACACTCTTTTTGTACTATCTGGAAGTGGACATTTGGAGCGCTTTCAGGTCTACGGTGAAAAAGGAGATATCTTCCAACAAAAACTAGATAGAAGCAATGTCAGAACTTTTTTCATGATGTATCTACTCAGCAAACAGAGTTGAACCTTTCTTTTGAGAGAGCAGTTTTGAAACACTCTTTTTGTGGAATATGCAAGTGGGTATTAGGCCAGCTTGGAGGATTTCGTTGGAAACGGGAATACGTATAAAAAGCAGACAGCAGCATTGTCAGAAACTACTTTGTGATGTTTGCATTCAAGTCACAGAATTGAACACTCCCTTTCACAGAGCAGGTTTGAAACACTCTTTTTGTAGTGTCTGTAAGTGAACATTTGGATTGCTTTCAGGCCTAAGGTGAAAAAGGAAATATCTTCCCATAAAAACTAGACAGAAGCATTCTCAGAAACTTGTTTGTGATGTGTGCCCTCTACTGACAGAGTTGAACCTTTCTTTGCAAAGAGCAGTTTTGAAACACTCTTTTTGTAGAATCTGCAAGAGGATATTTGGATAGCTTTGAGGATTTCTTGGGAAACGGGAATGTCTTCAGATAAACTCTAGACAGAAGCATTCTCAGAAACTTCTTTGGGATGTTTCAATTGAAGTCACAGTGTTGAACATTCCCTTTCACAGAGCAGGTTTGAAACACTCTTTTTGTAGTGTCTATAAGTGAACATTTGGCGTGCTTTCAGGCCTAACGTTAAAAAGGAAATATCTTCCCATAAAAACTAGACAGAAGCATTCTCAGAAACTTGTTCTTGATGTGTCCCCTCTACTGACAGAGTTGAACCTTTCTTTGCAAAGAGCAGCTTTGAAACACTCTTTTTGTAGAATCTGCAAGAGGATATTTGGATAGCTTGGAGGATTTCGTTGGAAACGGGTATGTCTTCAGATAAACTCTAGACAGAAGCATTCTCAGAAACTTCTTTGGGATGTTGCATTCAAGTCACAGAGTAGAACATTCCCATTCATAGAGCAGATTTGAAACACTCTTTTTGTAGTATCTGGAAGTGGACATTTGAAGCGCTTTCAGGCCTATGTTGAAAAAGGAAATATCTTCCCATAAAAACTAGACGGAAGCATTCTCAGAAACTTATTTGTGATGTGTTTGCTCAACTAACAGGATTGAACCATCGTTTTGAAGGAGCAGTTTTGAAACACTGTTTTCGTGGAATCTGCAAGTGGATATTTGGCTAGCTTTGAGGATTTCGTTGGAAACGGGATTACATATAAAAAGGAGACAGCAGCATTCTCAGAAACTTCTTTGTGATGTCTGCATTCAATTCACAGAGTTGAGCATTCCCTTTCATAGAGCAGGTTGGAAACACTCTTTTTGTAGTATCTGGATGAGGACATTTGGAGCGCTTTCTGGCCTATGGTGAAAAAGGAAATATCTTCCCGTAAAAACTAGACAGAAGCATTCTCAGAAGTTTATTTGTGATGTGTGCCCTCAACTAACAGAGTTGAACCTTTCTTTTGATAGAGCAGTTTTGAAACACTCTTTTTGTAAAATCTGCAAGAGGATATTTGGATAGCTTTGAGGATTTCGTTGCAAACGGGAATGGCTTCATATAAACTCTAGACAGAAGCATTCTCAGAAACTTCGTTGGGATGTTTCGATTGAAGTCCCAGTGTTGAACATTCCCTTTTATAGAGCAGGTTGGAAACACTCTTTCTGCATTCCCTGGAAGTGGACATTTGGAGCGCTTTCAGGACGACGGTGAAAATGGAAATATCTTCCAAGCAAAATCTAGATAGAAGCAATGTCAGAAACTTTTATGTGATGGATCTACTCAGCTAACAGAGTTGAACCTTTCTTTTGAGAGAGCAGTTTTGCAACACTCTTTTTGTGGAATATGCAAGTGGATATTAGGGCAGCTTTGAGGATTTCGTTGGAAACGGGAATACATGTAAAAAGCAGACAGCAGCATTCTCAGAAACTTCTTTGTGATGTTTGCATTGAAGTCACAGAGTTGAACATTCCCTTTGAGAGAGCAGGTTTGAAACACGCCTTTTGTCATATCTGGAAGTGTCCATTCGGAGCGCATTCAGGCTTGTGTTGAAAAAGGAAATATCCTCCCATAAAAACTAGACAGAAGCATTCTCAGAAACTTATCTGTGATGTATGTACTCAACTAACAGAACTAAACCATCGTTTTGAAGGAGCAGTTTTGAAACACTCTTTTTGCGGAATCTGCAAGTGGATATTTGGCTAGCTGGGAGGATTTCGTTGGAAACGGGATTACATACAAAAAGCAGACAGCAGCATTCTCAGAAACTTCTTTGTGATGTTTGCATTCAAGTCACAGAGCTGAACATTCCCTTTCATAGAGCAGGTTTGAAACACTCTTTTTGTAGTATCTGGATGTGGACATTTGGATCGCTTTCAGGCCTATGGTGAAAAAGGAAATATCTTCCCATGAAAACTAGACAGAAGCATTCTCAGAAACTTATTTGTGATGTGTGCCCTCAACTGACAGTGTTGAACCTTTGTTTTGATAGAGCAGTTCTGAAACACACTTTTTGTAAAATCTGCAAGAGGATATTTGGATAGCTTTGAGGATTTCGTTGGAAACGGGAATGTCTTCATGTAAACTCTAGACAGAAGCATTCTCAGAAACTGCTTTGGGATGTTTCAATTGAAGTCCCAGTGTTGAACATTCCCTTTCATAGAGCAGGTTTGAAACACTCTTTTTGTACTATCTGGAAGTGGACATTTGGAGCGCTTTCAGGTCTACGGTGAAAAAGGAGATATCTTCCAATAAAAACTAGATAGAAGCAATGTCAGAACTTTTTTCATGATGTATCTACTCAGCAAACAGAGTTGAACCTTTCTTTTGAGAGAGCAGTTTTGAAACACTCTTTTTGTGGAATATGCAAGTGGGTATTAGGCCAGCTTGGAGGATTTCGTTGGAAACGGGAATACGTATAAAAAGCAGACAGCAGCATTGTCAGAAACTACTTTGTGATGTTTGCATTCAAGTCACAGAATTGAACACTCCCTTTCACAGAGCAGGTTTGAAACACTCTTTTTGTAGTGTCTGTAAGTGAACATTTGGATTGCTTTCAGGCCTAAGGTGAAAAAGGAAATATCTTCCCATAAAAACTAGACAGAAGCATTCTCAGAAACTTGTTTGTGATGTGTGCCCTCTACTGACAGAGTTGAACCTTTCTTTGCAAAGAGCAGTTTTGAAACACTCTTTTTGTAGAATCTGCAAGAGGATATTTGGATAGCTTTGAGGATTTCTTGGGAAACGGGAATGTCTTCATGTAAACTCTGGACAGAAGCATTCTGAGAAACTTCTTTGGGATATTTCAATTGAAGTCACAGTGTTGAACATTCCCTTTCACAGAGCAGGTTTGAAACACTCTTTTTGTAGTGTCTATAAGTGAACATTTGGCGTGCTTTCAGGCCTAACGTGAAAAAGGAAATATCTTCCCATAAAAACGAGACAGAAGCATTCTCAGAAACTTGTTCGTGATGTGTGCCCTCTACTGACAGAGTTGAACCTTTCTTTGCAAAGAGCAGCTTTGAAACACTCTTTTTGTAGAATCTGCAAGAGGATATTTGGATAGCTTTGAGGATTTCGTTGGAAACGGGTATGTCTTCAGATAAACTCTAGACAGAAGCATTCTCAGAAACTTCTTTGGGATGTTGCATTCAAGTCACAGAGTAGAACATTCCCATTCATAGAGCAGATTTGAAACACTCTTTTTGTAGTATCTGGAAGTGGACATTTGGAGCGCTTTCAGGCCTATGTTGAAAAAGGAAATATCTTCCCATAAAAACTAGACGGAAGCATTCTCAGAAACTTATTTGTGATGTGTTTGCTCAACTAACAGGATTGAACCATCGTTTTGAAGGAGCAGTTTTGAAACACTGTTTTCGTGGAATCTGCAAGTGGATATTTGGCTAGCTTTGAGGATTTCGTTGGAAACGGGATTACATATAAAAAGGAGACAGCAGCATTCTCAGAAACTTCTTTGTGATGTCTGCATTCAATTCACAGAGTTGAGCATTCCCTTTCATAGAGCAGGTTGGAAACACTCTTTTTGTAGTATCTGGATGAGGACATTTGGAGCGCTTTCTGGCCTATGGTGAAAAAGGAAATATCTTCCCGTAAAAACTAGACAGAAGCATTCTCAGAAGTTTATTTGTGATGTGTGCCCTCAACTAACAGAGTTGAACCTTTCTTTTCATAGAGCAGTTTTGAAACACTCTTTTTGTAAAATCTGCAAGAGGATATTTGGATAGCTTTGAGGATTTCGTTGCAAACGAGAATGGCTTCACATAAACTCTAGACAGAAGCATTCTCAGAAACTTCGTTGGGATGTTTCGATTGAAGTCCCAGTGTTGAACATACCCTTTTATAGAGCAGGTTGGAAACACTCTTTCTGCATTCCCTGGAAGTGGACATTTGGAGCGCTTTCAGGACGACGGTGAAAATGGAAATATCTTCCAATAAAATCTAGATAGAAGCAACGTCAGAAACTTTTATGTGATGGATCTACTCAGCTAACAGAGTTGAACCTTTCTTTTGAGAGAGCAGTTTTGCAACACTCTTTTTGTGGAATATGCAAGTGGATATTAGGGCACCTTTGAGGATTTCGTTGGAAACGGGGAATACATGTAAAAAGCAGACAGCAGCATTCTCAGAAACTTCTTTGTGATGTTTGCATTGAAGTCACAGAGTTGAACATTCCCTTTGAGAGAGCAGGTTTGAAACACGCCTTTTGTCATATCTGGAAGTGTCCATTCGGAGCGCATTCAGGCTTGTGTTGAAAAAGGAAATATCCTCCCAGAAAAACTAGACAGAAGCATTCTCAGAAACTTATTTGTGATGTATGTACTCAACTAACAGAACTAAACCATCGTTTTGAAGGAGCAGTTTTGAAACACTCTTTTTGCGGAATCTGCAAGTGGATATTTGGCTAGCTTGGAGGATTTCGTTGGAAACGGGATTACATACAAAAAGCAGAGAGCAGCATTCTCAGAAACTTCTTTGTGATGTTTGCATTCAAGTCACAGAGTTGAACATTCCCTTTCATAGAGCAGGTTTGAAACACTCTTTTTGTAGTATCTGGATGTGGACATTTGGATCGCTTTCAGGCCTATGGTGAAAAAGGAAATATCTTCCCATGAAAACTAGACAGAAGCATTCTCAGAAACTTATTTGTGATGTGTGCCCTCAACTGACAGTGTTGAACCTTTGTTTTGATAGAGCAGTTCTGAAACACACTTTTTGTAAAATCTGCAAGAGGATATTTGGATAGCTTTGAGGATTTCGTTGGAAACGGGAATGTCTTCATGTAAACTCTAGACAGAAGCATTCTCAGAAACTGCTTTGGGATGTTTCAATTGAAGTCCCAGTGTTGAACATTCCCTTTCATAGAGCAGGTTTGAAACACTCTTTTTGTACTATCTGGAAGTGGACATTTGGAGCGCTTTCAGGTCTACGGTGAAAAAGGAGATATCTTCCAATAAAAACTAGATAGAAGCAATGTCAGAACTTTTTTCATGATGTATCTACTCAGCAAACAGAGTTGAACCTTTCTTTTGAGAGAGCAGTTTTGAAACACTCTTTTTGTGGAATATGCAAGTGGGTATTAGGCCAGCTTGGAGGATTTCGTTGGAAACGGGAATACGTATAAAAAGCAGACAGCAGCATTGTCAGAAACTACTTTGTGATGTTTGCATTCAAGTCACAGAATTGAACACTCCCTTTCACAGAGCAGGTTTGAAACACTCTTTTTGTAGTGTCTGTAAGTGAACATTTGGATTGCTTTCAGGCCTAAGGTGAAAAAGGAAATATCTTCCCATAAAAACTAGACAGAAGCATTCTCAGAAACTTGTTTGTGATGTGTGCCCTCTACTGACAGAGTTGAACCTTTCTTTGCAAAGACCAGTTTTGAAACACTCTTTTTGTAGAATCTGCAAGAGGATATTTGGATAGCTTTGAGGATTTACTTGGGAAACGGGAATGTCTTCAGATAAACTCTAGACAGAAGCATTCTCAGAAACTTCTTTGGGATGTTTCAATTGAAGTCACAGTGTTGAACATTCCCTTTCACAGAGCAGGTTTGAAACACTCTTTTTGTAGTGTCTATAAGTGAACATTTGGCGTGCTTTCAGGCCTAACGTGAAAAAGGAAATATCTTCCCATAAAAACTAGACAGAAGCATTCTCAGAAACTTGTTCGTGATGTGTGCCCTCTACTGACAGAGTTGAACCTTTCTTTGCAAAGAGCAGCTTTGAAACACACTTTTTGTAGAATCTGCAAGAGGATATTTGGATAGCTTTGAGGATTTCGTTGGAAACGGGTATGTCTTCAGATAAACTCTAGACAGAAGCATTCTCAGAAACTTCTTTGGGATGTTGCATTCAAGTCACAGAGTAGAACATTCCCATTCATAGAGCAGATTTGAAACACTCTTTTTGTAGTATCTGGAAGTGGACATTTGGAGCGCTTTCAGGCCTATGTTGAAAAAGGAAATATCTTCCCATAAAAACTAGACGGAAGCATTCTCAGAAACTTATTTGTGATGTGTTTGCTCAACTAACAGGACTGAACCATCGTTTTGAAGGAGCAGTTTTGAAACACTGTTTTCGTGGAATCTGCAAGTGGATATTTGGCTAGCTTTGAGGATTTCGTTGGAAACGGGATTACATATAAAAAGGAGACAGCAGCATTCTCAGAAACTTCTTTGTGATGTCTGCATTCAATTCACAGAGTTGAGCATTCCCTTTCATAGAGCAGGTTGGAAACACTCTTTTTGTAGTATCTGGATGAGGACATTTGGAGCGCTTTCAGGCGTATGGTGAAAAAGGAAATATCTTCCCGTAAAAACTAGACAGAAGCATTCTCAGAAGTTTATTTGTGATGTGTGCCCTCAACTAACAGAGTTGGACCTTTCTTTTGATAGAGCAGTTTTGAAACACTCTTTTTGTAAAATCTGCAAGAGGATATTTGGATAGCTTTGAGGATTTCGTTGCAAACGGGAATGGCTTCATATAAACTCTAGACAGAAGCATTCTCAGAAACTTCGTTGGGATGTTTCGATTGAAGTCCCAGTGTTGAACATTCCCTTTTATAGAGCAGGTTGGAAACACTCTTTCTGCATTCCCTGGAAGTGGACATTTGGAGCGCTTTCAGGACGACGGTGAAAATGGAAATATCTTCCAAGAAAATCTAGATAGAAGCAACGTCAGAAACTTTTCTGTGATGGATCTACTCAGCTAACAGAGTTGAACCTTTCTTTTGAGAGAGCAGTTTTGCAACACTCTTTTTGTGGAATATGCAAGTGGATATTAGGGCAGCTTTGAGGATTTCGTTGGAAACGGGAATACATGTAAAAAGCAGACAGCAGCATTCTCAGAAACTTCTTTGTGATGTTTGCATTGAAGTCACAGAGTTGAACATTCCCTTTGAGAGAGCAGGTTTGAAACACGCCTTTTGTCATATCTGGAAGTGTCCATTCGGAGCGCATTCAGGCTTGTGTTGAAAAAGGAAATATCCTCCCATAAAAACTAGACAGAAGCATTCTCAGAAACTTATCTGTGATGTATGTACTCAACTAACAGAACTAAACCATCGTTTTGAAGGAGCAGTTTTGAAACACTCTTTTTGCGGAATCTGCAAGTGGATATTTGGCTAGCTGGGAGGATTTCGTTGGAAACGGGATTACATACAAAAAGCAGACAGCAGCATTCTCAGAAACTTCTTTGTGATGTTTGCATTCAAGTCACAGAGTTGAACATTCCCTTTCATAGAGCAGGTTTGAAACACTCTTTTTGTAGTATCTGGATGTGGACATTTGGATCGCTTTCAGGCCTATGGTGAAAAAGGAAATATCTTCCCATGAAAACTAGACAGAAGCATTCTCAGAAACTTATTTGTGATGTGTGCCCTCAACTGACAGTGTTGAACCTTTGTTTTGATAGAGCAGTTCTGAAACACACTTTTTGTAAAATCTGCAAGAGGATATTTGGATAGCTTTGAGGATTTCGTTGGAAACGGGAATGTCTTCATGTAAACTCTACACAGAAGCATTCTCAGAAACTGCTTTGGGATGTTTCAATTGAAGTCCCAGTGTTGAACATTCCCATTCATAGAGCAGGTTTGAAACACTCTTTTTGTACTATCTGGAAGTGGACATTTGGAGCGCTTTCAGGTGTACGGTGAAAAAGGAGATATCTTCCAATAAAAACTAGATAGAAGCAATGTCAGAACTTTTTTCATGATGTATCTACTCAGCAAACAGAGTTGAACCTTTCTTTTGAGGGAGCAGTTTTGAAACACTATTTTTGTGGAATATGCAAGTGGGTATTAGGCCAGCTTGGAGGATTTCGTTGGAAACGGGAATACGTATAAAAAGCAGACAGCAGCATTGTCAGAAACTACTTTGTGATGTTTGCATTCAAGTCACAGAATTGAACACTCCCTTTCACAGAGCAGGTTTGAAACACTCTTTTTGTAGTGTCTGTAAGTGAACATTTGGATTGCTTTCAGGCCTAAGGTGAAAAAGGAAATATCTTCCCATAAAAACTAGACAGAAGCATTCTCAGAAACTTGTTTGTGATGTGTGCCCTCTACTGACAGAGTTGAACCTTTCTTTGCAAAGAGCAGTTTTGAAACACTCTTTTTGTAGAATCTGCAAGAGGATATTTGGATAGCTTTGAGGATTTCTTGGGAAACGGGAATGTCTTCAGATAAACTCTAGACAGAAGCATTCTCAGAAACTTCTTTGGGATGTTTCAATTGAAGTCACAGTGTTGAACATTCCCTTTCACAGAGCAGGTTTGAAACACTCTTTTTGTAGTGTCTATAAGTGAACATTTGGCGTGCTTTCAGGCCTAACGTGAAAAAGGAAATATCTTCCCATAAAAACTAGACAGAAGCATTCTCAGAAACTTGTTTGTGATGTGTGCCCTCTACTGACAGAGTTGAACCTTTCTTTGCAAAGAGCAGCTTTGAAACACTCTTTTTGTAGAATCTGCAAGAGGATATGTGGATAGCTTTGAGGATTTCGTTGGAAACGGGTATGTCTTCAGATAAACTCTAGACAGAAGCATTCTCAGAAACTTCTTTGGGATGTTTCAATTGAAGTCACAGTGTTGAACATTCCCTTTCACAGAGCAGGTTTGAAACACTCTTTTTGTAGTGTCTATAAGTGAACATTTGGCGTGCTTTCAGGCCTAACGTGAAAAAGGAAATATCTTCCCATAAAAACTAGACAGAAGCATTCTCAGAAACTTGTTCGTGATGTGTGCCCTCTACTGACAGAGTTGAACCTTTCTTTGCAAAGAGCAGCTTTGAAACACTCTTTTTGTAGAATCTGCAAGAGGATATTTGGATAGCTTTGAGGATTTCGTTGGAAACGGGTATGTCTTCAGATAAACTCTAGACAGAAGCATTCTCAGAAACTTCTTTGGGATGTTGCATTCAAGTCACAGAGTAGAACATTCCCATTCATAGAGCAGATTTGAAACACTCTTTTTGTAGTATCTGGAAGTGGACATTTGGAGCGCTTTCAGGCCTATGTTGAAAAAGGAAATATCTTCCCATAAAAACTAGACGGAAGCATTCTCAGAAACTTACTTGTGATGTGTTTGCTCAACTAACAGGATTGAACCATCGTTTTGAAGGAGCAGTTTTGAAACACAGTTTTCGTGGAATCTGCAAGTGGATATTTGGCTAGCTTTGAGGATTTCGTTGGAAACGGGATTACATATAAAAAGGAGACAGCAGCATTCTCAGAAACTTCTTTGTGATGTTTGCATTCAAGTCACAGAGTTGAACATTCCCTTTCATAGAGCAGGTTTGAAACACTCTTTTTGTAGTATCTGGATGTGGACATTTGGATCGCTTTCAGGCCTATGGTGAAAAAGGAAATATCTTCCCATGAAAACTAGACAGAAGCATTCTCAGAAACTTATTTGTGATGTGTGCCCTCAACTGACAAGTGTTGAACCTTTGTTTTGATAGAGCAGTTCTGAAACACACTTTTTGTAAAATCTGCAAGAGGATATTTGGATAGCTTTGAGGATTTCGTTGGAAACGGGAATGTCTTCATGTAAACTCTAGACAGAAGCATTCTCAGAAACTGCTTTGGGATGTTTCAATTGAAGTCCCAGTGTTGAACATTCCCATTCATAGAGCAGGTTTGAAACACTCTTTTTGTACTATCTGGAAGTGGACATTTGGAGCGCTTTCAGGTCTACGGTGAAAAAGGAGATATCTTCCAATAAAAACTAGATAGAAGCAATGTCAGAACTTTTTTCATGATGTATCTACTCAGCACACAGAGTTGAACCTTTCTTTTGAGAGAGCAGTTTTGAAACACTCTTTTTGTGGAATATGCAAGTGGGTATTAGGCCAGCTTGGAGGATTTCGTTGGAAACGGGAATACGTATAAAAAGCAGACAGCAGCATTGTCAGAAACTACTTTGTGATGTTTGCATTCAAGTCACAGAATTGAACACTCCCTTTCACAGAGCAGGTTTGAAACACTCTTTTTGTAGTGTCTGTAAGTGAACATATGGATTGCTTTCAGGCCTAAGGTGAAAAAGGAAATATCTTCCCATAAAAACTAGACAGAAGCATTCTCAGAAACTTGTTTGTGATGTGTGCCCTCTACTGACAGAGTTGAACCTTTCTTTGCAAAGAGCAGTTTTGAAACACTCTTTTTGTAGAATCTGCAAGAGGATATTTGGATAGCTTTGAAGATTTCTTGGGAAACGGGAATGTCTTCAGATAAACTCTAGACAGAAGCATTCTCAGAAACTTCTTTGGGATATTTCAATTGAAGTCACAGTGTTGAACATTCCCTTTCACAGAGCAGGTTTGAAACACTCTTTTTGTAGTGTGTATAAGTGAACATTTCGCGTGCTTTCAGGCCTAACGTGAAAAAGGAAATATCTTCCCATAAAAACTAGACAGAAGCATTCTCAGAAACTTGTTCATGATGTGTGCCCTCTACTGACAGAGTTGAACCTTTCTTTGCAAAGAGCAGCTTTGAAACACTCTTTTTGTAGAATCTGCAAGAGGATATTTGGATAGCTTGGAGGATTTCGTTGGAAACGGGTATGTCTTCAGATAAACTCTAGACAGAAACATTCTCAGAAACTTCTTTGGGATGTTGCATTCAAGTCACAGAGTAGAACATTCCCATGCATAGAGCAGATTTGAAACACTCTTTTTGTAGTATCTGGAAGTGGACATTTGGAGCGCTTTCAGGCCTATGTTGAAAAAGGAAATATCTTCCCATAAAAACTAGACGGGAAGCATTCTCAGAAACTTACTTGTGATGTGTTTGCTCAACTAACAGGATTGAACCATCGTTTTGAAGGAGCAGTTTTGAAACACAGTTTTCGTGGAATCTGCAAGTGGATATTTGGCTAGCTTTGAGGATTTCGTTGGAAACGGGATTACATATAAAAAGGAGACAGCAGCATTCTCAGAAACTTCTTTGTGATGTCTGCATTCAATTCACAGAGTTGAGCATTCCCTTTCATAGAGCAGGTTGGAAACACTCTTTTTGTAGTATCTGGATGAGGACATTTGGAGCGCTTTCAGGCGTATGGTGAAAAAGGAAATATCTTCCCGTAAAAACTAGACAGAAGCATTCTCAGAAGTTTATTTGAGATGTGTGCCCTCAACTAACAGAGTTGAAACTTTCTTTTGATAGAGCAGTTTTGAAACACTCTTTTTGTAAAATCTGCAAGAGGATATTTGGATAGCTTTGAGGATTTCGTTGCAAACGGGAATGGCTTCATATAAACTCTAGACAGAAGCATTCTCAGAAACTTCGTTGGGATGTTGCGATTGAAGTCCCAGTGTTGAACATTCCCTTTTATAGAGCAGGTTGGAAACACTCTTTCTGCATTCCCTGGAAGTGGACATTTGGAGCGCTTTCAGGACGACGGTGAAAATGGAAATATCTTCCAATAAAATCTAGATAGAAGCAATGTCAGAAACTTTTCTGTGATGGATCTACTCAGCTAACAGAGTTGAACCTTTCTTTTGAGAGAGCAGTTTTGCAACACTCTTTTTGTGGAATATGCAAGTGGATATTAGGGCAGCTTTGAGGATTTCGTTGGAAACGGGAATACATGTAAAAAGCAGACAGCAGCATTCTCAGAAACTTCTTTGTGATGTTTGCATTGAAGTCACAGAGTTGAACATTCCCTTTGAGAGAGCAGGTTTGAAACACGCCTTTTGTCATATCTGGAAGTGTCCATTCGGAGCGCATTCAGGCTTGTTTTGAAAAAGGAAATATCCTCCCAGAAAACTAGACAGAAGCATTCTCAGAAACTTATCTGTGATGTATGTACTCAACTAACAGAACTAAACCATCGTTTTGAAGGAGCAGTTTTGAAACACTCTTTTTGCGGAATCTGCAAGTGGATATTTGGCTAGCTGGGAGGATTTCGTTGGAAACGGGATTACATACAAAAAGCAGACAGCAGCATTCTCAGAAACTTCTTTGTGATTTTTGCATTCAAGTCACAGAGTTGAACATTCCCTTTCATAGAGCAGGTTGGAAACACTCTTTTTGTAGTATCTGGATGTGGACATTTGGATCGCTTTCAGGCCTATGGTGAAAAAGGAAATATCTTCCCATGAAAACTAGACAGAAGCATTCTCAGAAACTTATTTGTGATGTGTGCCCTCAACTGACAGTGTTGAACCTTTGTTTTGATAGAGCAGTTCTGAAACACACTTTTTGTAAAATCTGCAAGAGGATATTTGGATAGCTTTGAGGATTTCGTTGGAAACGGGAATGTCTTCATGTAAACTTCTAGACAGAAGCATTCTCAGAAACTGCTTTGGGATGTTTCAATTGAAGTCCCAGTGTTGAACATTCCCATTCATAGAGCAGGTTTGAAACACTCTTTTTGTACTATCTGGAAGTGGACATTTGGAGCGCTTTCAGGTCTACGGTGAAAAAGGAGATATCTTCCAATAAAAACTAGATAGAAGCAATGTCAGAACTTTTTTCATGATGTATCTACTCAGCAAACAGAGTTGAACCTTTCTTTTGAGAGAGCAGTTTTGAAACACTCTTTTTGTGGAATATGAAAGTGGGTATTAGGCCAGCTTGGAGGATTTCGTTGGAAACGGGAATACGTATAAAAAGCAGACAGCAGCATTGTCAGAAACTACTTTGTGATGTTTGCATTCAAGTCACAGAACTGAACACTCCCTTTCACAGAGCAGGTTTGAAACACTCTTTTTGTAGTGTCTGTAAGTGAACATTTGGATTGCTTTCAGGCCTAAGGTGAAAAAGGAAATATCTTCCCATAAAAACTAGACAGAAGCATTCTCAGAAACTTGTTTGTGATGTGTGCCCTCTACTGACAGAGTTGAACCTTTCTTTGCAAAGAGCAGTTTTGAAACACTCTTTTTGTAGAATCTGCAAGAGGATATTTGGATAGCTTTGAGGATTTCTTGGGAAACGGGAATGTCTTCAGATAAACTCTAGACAGAAGCATTCTCAGAAACTTCTTTGGGATGTTTCAATTGAAGTCACAGTGTTGAACATTCCCTCTCACAGAGCAGGTTTGAAACACTCTTTTTGTAGTGTCTATAATTGAACATTTGGCGTGCTTTCAGGCCTAACGTGAAAAAGGAAATATCTTCCCATAAAAACTAGACAGAAGCATTCTCAGAAACTTGTTCGTGATGTGTGCCCTCTACTGACAGAGTTGAACCTTTCTTTGCAAAGAGCAGCTTTGAAACACTCTTTTTGTAGAATCTGCAAGAGGATATGTGGATAGCTTTGAGGATTTCGTTGGAAACGGGTATGTCTTCAGATAAACTCTAGACAGAAGCATTCTCAGAAACTTCTTTGGGATGTTTCAATTGAAGTCACAGTGTTGAACATTCCCTTTCACAGAGCAGGTTTGAAACACTCTTTTTGTAGTGTCTATAAGTGAACATTTGGCGTGCTTTCAGGCCTAACGTGAAAAAGGAAATATCTTCCCATAAAAGCTAGACAGAAGCATTCTCAGAAACTTGTTCATGATGTGTGCCCTCTACTGACAGAGTTGAACCTTTTTTTGCAAAGAGCAGCTTTGAAACACTCTTTTTGTAGAATCTGCAAGAGGATATTTGGATAGCTTGGAGGATTTCGTTGGAAACGGGTATGTCTTCAGATAAACTCTAGACAGAAGCATTCTCAGAAACTTCTTTGGGATGTTGCATTCAAGTCACAGAGTAGAACATTCCCATTCATAGAGCAGATTTGAAACACTCTTTTTGTAGTATCTGGAAGTGGACATTTGGAGCGCTTTCAGGCCTATGTTGAAAAAGGAAATATCTTCCCATAAAAACTAGACGGAAGCATTCTCAGAAACTTACTTGTGATGTGTTTGCTCAACTAACAGAATTGAACCATCGTTTTGAAGGAGCAGTTTTGAAACACTGTTTTCGTGGAATCTGCAAGTGGATATTTGGATAGCTTTGAGGATTTCGTTGGAAACGGGATTACATATAAAAAGGAGACAGCAGCATTCTCAGAAACTTCTTTGTGATGTCTGCATTCAATTCACAGAGTTGAGCATTCCCTTTCATAGAGCAGGTTGGAAACACTCTTTGTGTAGTATCTGGATGAGGACATTTGGAGCGCTTTCAGGCCTATGGTGAAAAAGGAAATATCTTCCCGTAAAAACTAGACAGAAGCATTCCCAGAAATTTATTTGTGATGGGTGCCCTCAACTAACAGAGTTGAACCTTTCTTTTGATAGAGCAGTTTTGAAACACTCTTTTTGTAAAATCTGCAAGAGGATATTTGGATAGCTTTGAGGATTTCATTGCAAACGGGAATGGCTTCATATAAACTCTAGACAGAAGCATTCTCAGAAACTTCGTTGGGATGTTTCGATTGAAGTCCCAGTGTTGAACATTCCCTTTTATAGAGCAGGTTGGAAACACTCTTTCTGCATTCCCTGGAAGTGGACATTTGGAGCGCTTTCAGGACGACGGTGAAAATGGAAATATCTTCCAAGAAAATCTAGATAGAAGCAACGTCAGAAACTTTTATGTGATGGATCTACTCAGCTAACAGAGTTGAACCTTTCTTTTGAGAGAGCAGTTTTGCAACACTCTTTTTGTGGAATATGCAAGTGGATATTAGGGCAGCTTTGAGGATTTCGTTGGAAACGGGAATACATGTAAAAAGCAGACAGCAGCATTCTCAGAAACTTCTTTGTGATGTTTGCATTGAAGTCACAGAGTTGAACATTCCCTTTGAGAGAGCAGGTTTGAAACACGCCTTTTGTCATATCTGGAAGTGTCCATTCGGAGCGCATTCAGGCTTGTGTTGAAAAAGGAAATATCCTCCCATAAAAACTAGACAGAAGCATTCTCAGAAACTTATCTGTGATGTATGTACTCAACTAACAGAACTAAACCATCGTTTTGAAGGAGCAGTTTTGAAACACTCTTTTTGCGGAATCTGCAAGTGGATATTTGGCTAGCTGGGAGGATTTCGTTGGAAACGGGATTACATACAAAAAGCAGACAGCAGCATTCTCAGAAACTTCTTTGTGATGTTTGCATTCAAGTCACAGAGTTGAACATTCCCTTTCATAGAGCAGGTTTGAAACACTCTTTTTGTAGTATCTGGATGTGGACATTTGGATCGCTTTCAGGCCTATGGTGAAAAAGGAAATATCTTCCCATGAAAACTAGACAGAAGCATTCTCAGAAACTTATTTGTGATGTGTGCCCTCAACTGACAGTGTTGAACCTTTGTTTTGATAGAGCAGTTCTGAAACACACTTTTTGTAAAATCTGCAAGAGGATATTTGGATAGCTTTGAGGATTTCGTTGGAAACGGGGAATGTCTTCATGTAAACTCTAGACAGAAGCATTCTCAGAAACTGCTTTGGGATGTTTCAATTGAAGTCCCAGTGTTGAACATTCCCTTTCATAGAGCAGGTTTGAAACACTCTTTTTGTAGTATCTGGAAGTGGACATTTGGAGCGCTTTCAGGTCTACGGTGAAAAAGGAGATATCTTCCAATAAAAACTAGATAGAAGCAATGTCAGAACTTTTTTCATGATGTATCTACTCAGCAAACAGAGTTGAACCTTTCTTTTGAGAGAGCAGTTTTGAAACACTCTTTTTGTGGAATATGCAAGTGGGTATTAGGCCAGCTTGGAGGATTTCGTTGGAAACGGGAATACGTATAAAAAGCAGACAGCAGCATTGTCAGAAACTACTTTGTGATGTTTGCATTCAAGTCACAGAATTGAACACTCCCTTTCACAGAGCAGGTTTGAAACACTCTTTTTGTAGTGTCTGTAAGTGAACATTTGGATTGCTTTCAGGCCTAAGGTGAAAAAGGAAATATCTTCCCATAAAAACTAGACAGAAGCATTCTCAGAAACTTGTTTGTGATGTGTGCCCTCTACTGACAGAGTTGAACCTTTCTTTGCAAAGAGCAGTTTTGAAACACTCTTTTTGTAGAATCTGCAAGAGGATATTTGGATAGCTTTGAGGATTTCTTGGGAAACGGGAATGTCTTCAGATAAACTCTAGACAGAAGCATTCTCAGAAACTTCTTTGGGATGTTTCAATTGAAGTCACAGTGTTGAACATTCCCTTTCACAGAGCAGGTTTGAAACACTCTTTTTGTAGTGTCTGTAAGTGAACATTTGGATTGCTTTCAGGCCTAAGGTGAAAAAGGAAATATCTTCCCATAAAAACTAGACAGAAGCATTCTCAGAAACTTGTTTGTGATGTGTGCCCTCTACTGACAGAGCTGAACCTTTCTTTGCAAAGAGCAGTTTTGAAACACTCTTTTTGTAGAATCTGCAAGAGGATATTTGGATAGCTTTGAGGATTTCTTGGGAAACGGGAATGTCTTCAGATAAACTCTAGACGGAAGCATTCTCAGAAACTTCTTTGGGATGTTTCAATTGAAGTCACAGTGTTGAACATTCCCTTTCACAGAGCAGGTTTGAAACACTCTTTTTGTAGTGTCTATAAGTGAACATTTGGCGTGCTTTCAGGCGTAACGTGAAAAAGGAAATATCTTCCCATAAAAACTAGACAGAAGCGTTCTCAGAAACTTGTTCTTGATGTGTGCCCTCTACTGACAGAGTTGAACCTTTCTTTGCAAAGAGCAGCTTTGAAACACTCTTTTTGTAGAATCTGCAAGAGGATATTTGGATAGCTTTGAGGATTTCGTTGGAAACGGGTATGTCTTCAGATAAACTCTAGACAGAAGCATTCTCAGAAACTTCTTTGGGATGTTGCATTCAAGTCACAGAGTAGAACATTCCCATTCATAGAGCAGATTTGAAACACTCTTTTTGTAGTATCTGGAAGTGGACATTTGGAGCGCTTTCAGGCCTATGTTGAAAAAGGAAATATCTTCCCATGAAAACTAGACAGAAGCATTCTCAGAAACTTATTTGTGATGTGTTTGCTCAACTAACAGGATTGAACCATCGTTTTGAAGGAGCAGTTTTGAAACACTGTTTTCGTGGAATCTGCAAGTGGATATTTGGCTAGCTTTGAGGATTTCGTTGGAAACGGGATTACATATAAAAAGGAGACAGCAGCATTCTCAGAAACTTCTTTGTGATGTCTGCATTCAATTCACAGAGTTGAGCATTCCTTTTCATAGAGCAGGTTGGAAACACTCTTTTTGTAGTATCTGGATGAGGACATTTGGAGCGCTTTCAGGCGTATGGTGAAAAAGGAAATATCTTCCCGTAAAAACTAGACAGAAGCATTCTCAGAAGTTTATTTGAGATGTGTGCCCTCAACTAACAGAGTTGAACCTTTCTTTTGATAGAGCAGTTTTGAAACACTCTTTTTGTAAAATCTGCAAGAGGATATTTGGATAGCTTTGAGGATTTCGTTGCAAACGGGAATGGCTTCATATAAACTCTAGACAGAAGCATTCTCAGAAACTTCGTTGGGATGTTTTGATTGAAGTCCCAGTGTTGAACATTCCCTTTTATAGAGCAGGTTGGAAACACTCTTTCTGCATTCCCTGGAAGTGGACATTTGGAGCGCTTTCAGGACGACGGTGAAAATGGAAATATCTTCCAAGAAAATCTAGATAGAAGCAATGTCAGAAACTTTTCTGTGATGGATCTACTCAGCTAACAGAGTTGAACCTTTCTTTTGAGAGAGCAGTTTTGCAACACTCTTTTTGTGGAATATGCAAGTGGATATTAGGGCAGCTTTGAGGATTTCGTTGGAAACGGGAATACATGTAAAAAGCAGACAGCAGCATTCTCAGAAACTTCTTTGTGATGTTTGCATTGAAGTCACAGAGTTGAACATTCCCTTTGAGAGAGCAGGTTTGAAACACGCCTTTTGTCATATCTGGAAGTGTCCATTCGGAGCGCATTCAGGCTTGTGTTGAAAAAGGAAATATCCTCCCATAAAAACTAGACAGAAGCATTCTCAGAAACTTATTTGTGATGTATGTACTCAACTAACAGAACTAAACCATCGTTTTGAAGGAGCAGTTTTGAAACACTCTTTTTGCGGAATCTGCAAGTGGATATTTGGCTAGCTTGGGGGATTTCGTTGGAAACGGGATTACATACAAAAAGCAGACAGCAGCATTCTCAGAAACTTCTTTGTGATGTTTACATTCAAGTCACAGAGTTGAACATTCCCTTTCATAGAGCAGGTTTGAAACCCTCTTTTTGTAGTATCTGGATGTGGACATTTGGATCGCTTTCAGGCCTATGGTGAAAAAGGAAATATCTTCCCATGAAAACTAGACAGAAGCATTCTCAGAAGTTTATTTGTGATGTGTGCCCTCAACTAACAGAGTTGAACCTTTCTTTTGATAGAGCAGTTTTGAAACACTCTTTTTGTAAAATCTGCAAGAGGATATTTGGATAGCTTTGAGGATTTCGTTGCAAACGGGAATGGCTTCATATAAACTCTAGACAGAAGCATTCTCAGAAACTTCGTTGGGATGTTTCGATTGAAGTCCCAGTGTTGAACATTCCCTTTTATAGAGCAGGTTGGAAACACTCTTTCTGCATTCCCTGGAAGTGGACATTTGGAGCGCTTTCTGGACGACGGTGAAAATGGAAATATCTTCCAAGAAAATCTAGATAGAAGCAATGTCAGAAACTTTTATGTGATGGATCTACTCAGCTAACAGAGTTGAACCTTTCTTTTGAGAGAGCAGTTTTGCAACACTCTTTTTGTGGAATATGCAAGTGGATATTAGGGCAGCTTTGAGGATTTCGTTGGAAACGGGAATACATGTAAAAAGCAGACAGCAGCATTCTCAGAAACTTCTTTGTGATGTTTGCATTGAAGTCACAGAGTTGAACATTCCCTTTGAGAGAGCAGGTTTGAAACACGCCTTTTGTCATATCTGGAAGTGTCCATTCGGAGCGCATTCAGGCTTGTGTTGAAAAAGGAAATATCCTCCCATAAAAACTAGACAGAAGCATTCTCAGAAACTTATTTGTGATGTATGTACTCAACTAACAGAACTAAACCATCGTTTTGAAGGAGCAGTTTTGAAACACTCTTTTTGCGGAATCTGCAAGTGGATATTTGGCTAGCTGGGAGGATTTCGTTGGAAACGGGATTACATACAAAAAGCAGACAGCAGCATTCTCAGAAACTTCTTTGTGATGTTTGCATTCAAGTCACAGAGTTGAACATTCCCTTTCATAGAGCAGGTTTGAAACACTCTTTTTGTAGTATCTGGATGTGGACATTTGGATCGCTTTCAGGCCTATGGTGAAAAAGGAAATATCTTCCCATGAAAACTAGACAGAAGCATTCTCAGAAACTTATTTGTGATGTGTGCCCTCAACTGACAGTGTTGAACCTTTGTTTTGATAGAGCAGTTCTGAAACACACTTTTTGTAAAATCTGCAAGAGGATATTTGGATAGCTTTGAGGATTTCGTTGGAAACGGGAATGTCTTCATGTAAACTCTAGACAGAAGCATTCTCAGAAACTGCTTTGGGATGTTTCAATTGAAGTCCCAGTGTTGAACATTCCCTTTCATAGAGCAGGTTTGAAACACTCTTTTTGTACTATCTGGAAGTGGACATTTGGAGCGCTTTCAGGTCTACGGTGAAAAAGGAGATATCTTCCAATAACAACTAGATAGAAGCAATGTCAGAACTTTTTTCGTGATGTATCTACTCAGCAAACAGAGTTGAACCTTTCTTTTGAGAGAGCAGTTTTGAAACACTCTTTTTGTGGAATATGCAAGTGGGTATTAGGCCAGCTTGGAGGATTTCGTTGGAAACGGGAATACGTATAAAAAGCAGACAGCAGCATTGTCAGAAACTACTTTGTGATGTTTGCATTCAAGTCACAGAATTGAACACTCCCTTTCACAGAGCAGGTTTGAAACACTCTTTTTGTAGTGTCTGTAAGTGAACATATGGATTGCTTTCAGGCCTAAGGTGAAAAAGGAAATATCTTCCCATAAAAACTAGACAGAAGCATTCTCAGAAACTTGTTTGTGATGTGTGCCCTCTACTGACAGAGTTGAACCTTTCTTTGCAAAGACCAGTTTTGAAACACTCTTTTTGTAGAATCTGCAAGAGGATATTTGGATAGCTTTGAGGATTTCTTGGGAAACGGGAATGTCTTCAGATAAACTCTAGACAGAAGCATTCTGAGAAACTTCTTTGGGATATTTCAATTGAAGTCACAGTGTTGAACATTCCCTTTCACAGAGCAGGTTTGAAACACTCTTTTTGTAGTGTCTATAAGTGAACATTTGGCGTGCTTTCAGGCCTAACGTGAAAAAGGAAATATCTTCCCATAAAAACGAGACAGAAGCATTCTCAGAAACTTGTTCGTGATGTGTGCCCTCTACTGACAGAGTTGAACCTTTCTTTGCAAAGAGCAGCTTTGAAACACTCTTTTTGTAGAATCTGCAAGAGGATATTTGGATAGCTTTGAGGATTTCGTTGGAAACGGGTATGTCTTCAGATAAACTCTAGACAGAAGCATTCTCAGAAACTTCTTTGAGATGTTGCATTCAAGTCACAGAGTAGAACATTCCCATTCATAGAGCAGATTTGAAACACTCTTTTTGTAGTATCTGGAAGTGGACATTTGGAGCGCTTTCAGGCCTATGTTGAAAAAGGAAATATCTTCCCATAAAAACTAGACGGAAGCATTCTCAGAAACTTACTTGTGATGTGTTTGCTCAACTAACAGAATTGAACCATCGTTTTGAAGGAGCAGTTTTGAAACACTGTTTTCGTGGAATCTGCAAGTGGATATTTGGCTAGCTTTGAGGATTTCGTTGGAAACGGGATTACATATAAAAAGGAGACAGCAGCATTCTCAGAAACTTCTTTGTGATGTCTGCATTCAAGTCACAGAGTTGAGCATTCCCTTTCATAGAGCAGGTTGGAAACACTCTTTTTGTAGTATCTGGATGAGGACATTTGGAGCGCTTTCAGGCGTATGGTGAAAAAGGAAATATCTTCCCGTAAAAACTAGACAGAAGCATTCTCAGAAATTTATTTGTGATGTGTGCCCTCAACTAACAGAGTTGAACCTTTCTTTTGATAGAGCAGTTTTGAAACACTCTTTTTGTAAAATCTGCAAGAGGATATTTGGATAGCTTTGAGGATTTCGTTGCAAACGGGAATGGCTTCATATAAACTCTAGACAGAAGCATTCTCAGAAACTTCGTTGGGATGTTTCGATTGAAGTCCCAGTGTTGAACATTCCCTTTTATAGAGCAGGTTGGAAACACTCTTTCTGCATTCCCTGGAAGTGGACATTTGGAGCGCTTTCAGGACGACGGTGAAAATGGAAATATCTTCCAAGAAAATCTAGATAGAAGCAACGTCAGAAACTTTTCTGTGATGGATCTACTCAGCTAACAGAGTTGAACCTTTCTTTTGAGAGAGCAGTTTTGCAACACTCTTTTTGTGGAATATGCAAGTGGATATTAGGGCAGCTTTGAGGATTTCGTTGGAAACGGGAATACATGTAAAAAGCAGACAGCAGCATTCTCAGAAACTTCTTTGTGATGTTTGCATTGAAGTCACAGAGTTGAACATTCCCTTTGAGAGAGCAGGTTTGAAACACGCCTTTTGTCATATCTGGAAGTGTCCATTCGGAGCGCATTCAGGCTTGTGTTGAAAAAGGAAATATCCTCCCATAAAAACTAGACAGAAGCATTCTCAGAAACTTATCTGTGATGTATGTACTCAACTAACAGAACTAAACCATCGTTTTGAAGGAGCAGTTTTGAAACACTCTTTTTGCGGAATCTGCAAGTGGATATTTGGCTAGCTGGGAGGATTTCGTTGGAAACGGGATTACATACAAAAAGCAGACAGCAGCATTCTCAGAAACTTCTTTGTGATGTTTGCATTCAAGTCACAGAGTTGAACATTCCCTTTCATAGAGCAGGTTTGAAACACTCTTTTTGTAGTATCTGGATGTGGACATTTGGATCGCTTTCAGGCCTATGGTGAAAAAGGAAATATCTTCCCATGAAAACTAGACAGAAGCATTCTCAGAAACTTATTTGTGATGTGTGCCCTCAACTGACAGTGTTGAACCTTTGTTTTGATAGAGCAGTTCTGAAACACACTTTTTGTAAAATCTGCAAGAGGATATTTGGATAGCTTTGAGGATTTCGTTGGAAACGGGAATGTCTTCATGTAAACTCTACACAGAAGCATTCTCAGAAACTGCTTTGGGATGTTTCAATTGAAGTCCCAGTGTTGAACATTCCCATTCATAGAGCAGGTTTGAAACACTCTTTTTGTACTATCTGGAAGTGGACATTTGGAGCGCTTTCAGGTCTACGGTGAAAAAGGAGATATCTTTCAATAAAAACTAGATAGAAGCAATGTCAGAACTTTTTTCATGATGTATCTACTCAGCAAACAGAGTTGAACCTTTCTTTTGAGAGAGCAGTTTTGAAACACTCTTTTTGTGGAATATGCAAGTGGGTATTAGGCCAGCTTGGAGGATTTCGTTGGAAACGGGAATACGTATAAAAAGCAGACAGCAGCATTGTCAGAAACTACTTTGTGATGTTTGCATTCAAGTCACAGAATTGAACACTCCCTTTCACAGAGCAGGTTTGAAACACTCTTTTTGTAGTGTCTGTAAGTGAACATTTGGATTGCTTTCAGGCCTAAGGTGAAAAAGGAAATATCTTCCCATAAAAACTAGACAGAAGCATTCTCAGAAACTTGTTTGTGATGTGTGCCCTCTACTGACAGAGTTGAACCTTTCTTTGCAAAGAGCAGTTTTGAAACACTCTTTTTGTAGAATCTGCAAGAGGATATTTGGATAGCTTTGAGGATTTCTTGGGAAACGGGAATGTCTTCAGATAAACTCTAGACAGAAGCATTCTCAGAAACTTCTTTGGGATGTTTCAATTGAAGTCACAGTGTTGAACATTCCCTTTCACAGAGCAGGTTTGAAACACTCTTTTTGTAGTGTCTATAAGTGAACATTTGGCGTGCTTTCAGGCCTAACGTGAAAAAGGAAATATCTTCCCATAAAAACTAGACAGAAGCATTCTCAGAAACTTGTTTGTGATGTGTGCCCTCTACTGACAGAGTTGAACCTTTCTTTGCAAAGAGCAGCTTTGAAACACTCTTTTTGTAGAATCTGCAAGAGGATATGTGGATAGCTTTGAGGATTTCGTTGGAAACGGGTATGTCTTCAGATAAACTCTAGACAGAAGCATTCTCAGAAACTTCTTTGGGATGTTTCAATTGAAGTCACAGTGTTGAACATTCCCTTTCACAGAGCAGGTTTGAAACACTCTTTTTGTAGTGTCTATAAGTGAACATTTGGCGTGCTTTCAGGCCTAACGTGAAAAAGGAAATATCTTCCCATAAAAACTAGACAGAAGCATTCTCAGAAACTTGTTCATGATGTGTGCCCTCTACTGACAGAGTTGAACCTTTCTTTGCAAAGAGCAGCTTTGAAACACTCTTTTTGTAGAATCTGCAAGAGGATATTTGGATAGCTTTGAGGATTTCGTTGGAAACGGGTATGTCTTCAGATAAACTCTAGACAGAAGCATTCTCAGAAACTTCTTTGGGATGTTGCATTCAAGTCACAGAGTAGAACATTCCCATTCATAGAGCAGATTTGAAACACTCTTTTTGTAGTATCTGGAAGTGGACATTTGGAGCGCTTTCAGGCCTATGTTGAAAAAGGAAATATCTTCCCATAAAAACTAGACGGAAGCATTCTCAGAAACTTACTTGTGATGTGTTTGCTCAACTAACAGAATTGAACCATCGTTTTGAAGGAGCAGTTTTGAAACACTGTTTTCGTGGAATCTGCAAGTGGATATTTGGCTAGCTTTGAGGATTTCGTTGGAAACGGGATTACATATAAAAAGGAGACAGCAGCATTCTCAGAAACTTCTTTGTGATGTCTGCATTCAAGTCACAGAGTTGAGCATTCCCTTTCATAGAGCAGGTTGGAAACACTCTTTTTGTAGTATCTGGATGAGGACATTTGGAGCGCTTTCAGGCGTATGGTGAAAAAGGAAATATCTTCCCGTAAAAACTAGACAGAAGCATTCTCAGAAATTTATTTGTGATGTGTGCCCTCAACTAACAGAGTTGAACCTTTCTTTTGATAGAGCAGTTTTGAAACACTCTTTTTGTAAAATCTGCAAGAGGATATTTGGATAGCTTTGAGGATTTCGTTGCAAACGGGAATGGCTTCATATAAACTCTAGACAGAAGCATTCTCAGAAACTTCGTTGGGATGTTTCGATTGAAGTCCCAGTGTTGAACATTCCCTTTTATAGAGCAGGTTGGAAACACTCTTTCTGCATTCCCTGGAAGTGGACATTTGGAGCGCTTTCAGGACGACGGTGAAAATGGAAATATCTTCCAAGAAAATCTAGATAGAAGCAATGTCAGAAACTTTTATGTGATGGATCTACTCAGCTAACAGAGTTGAACCTTTCTTTTGAGAGAGCAGTTTTGCAACATTCTTTTTGTGGAATATGCAAGTGGATATTAGGGCAGCTTTGAGGATTTCGTTGGAAACGGGAATACATGTAAAAAGCAGACAGCAGCATTCTCAGAAACTTCTTTGTGATGTTTGCATTGAAGTCACAGAGTTGAACATTCCCTTTGAGAGAGCAGGTTGGAAACACGCCTTTTGTCATATCTGGAAGTGTCCATTCGGAGCGCATTCAGGCTTGTGTTGAAAAAGGAAATATCCTCCCATAAAAACTAGACAGAAGCATTCTCAGAAACTTATCTGTGATGTATTTACTCAACTAACAGAACTAAACCATCGTTTTGAAGGAGCAGTTTTGAAACACTCTTTTTGCGGAATCTGCAAGTGGATATTTGGCTAGCTGGGAGGATTTCGTTGGAAACGGGATTACATACAAAAAGCAGACAGCAGCATTCTCAGAAACTTCTTTGTGATGTTTGCATTCAAGTCACAGAGTTGAACATTCCCTTTCATAGAGCAGGTTTGAAACACTCTTTTTGTAGTATCTGGATGTGGACATTTGGATCGCTTTCAGGCCTATGGTGAAAAAGGAAATATCTTCCCATGAAAACTAGACAGAAGCATTCTCAGAAACTTATTTGTGATGTGTGCCCTCAACTGACAGTGTTGAACCTTTGTTTTGATAGAGCAGTTCTGAAACACACTTTTTGTAAAATCTGCAAGAGGATATTTGGATAGCTTTGAGGATTTCGTTGGAAACGGGAATGTCTTCATGTAAACTCTAGACAGAAGCATTCTCAGAAACTGCTTTGGGATGTTTCAATTGAAGTCCCAGTGTTGAACATTCCCTTTCATAGAGCAGGTTTGAAACACTCTTTTTGTACTATCTGGAAGTGGACATTTGGAGCGCTTTCAGGTCTACGGTGAAAAAGGAGATATCTTCCAATAAAAACTAGATAGAAGCAATGTCAGAACTTTTTTCATGATGTATCTACTCAGCAAACAGAGTTGAACCTTTCTTTTGAGAGAGCAGTTTTGAAACACTCTTTTTGTGGAATATGCAAGTGGGTATTAGGCCAGCTTGGAGGATTTCGTTGGAAACGGGAATACGTATAAAAAGCAGACAGCAGCATTGTCAGAAACTACTTTGTGATGTTGGCATTCAAGTCACAGAATTGAACACTCCCTTTCACAGAGCAGGTTTGAAACACTCTTTTTGTAGTGTCTGTAAGTGAACATTTGGATTGCTTTCAGGCCTAAGGTGAAAAAGGAAATATCTTCCCATAAAAACTAGACAGAAGCATTCTCAGAAACTTGTTTGTGATGTGTGCCCTCTACTGACAGAGTTGAACCTTTCTTTGCAAAGAGCAGTTTTGAAACACTCTTTTTGTAGAATCTGCAAGAGGATATTTGGATAGCTTTGAGGATTTCTTGGGAAACGGGAATGTCTTCAGATAAACTCTAGACAGAAGCATTCTCAGAAACTTCTTTGGGATGTTTCAATTGAAGTCACAGTGTTGAACATTCCCTTTCACAGAGCAGGTTTGAAACACTCTTTTTGTAGTGTCTATAAGTGAACATTTGGCGTGCTTTCAGGCGTAACGTGAAAAAGGAAATATCTTCCCATAAAAACCAGACAGAAGCATTCTCAGAAACTTGTTTGTGATGTGTGCCCTCTACTGACAGAGTTGAACCTTTCTTTGCAAAGAGCAGCTTTGAAACACTCTTTTTGTAGAATCTGCAAGAGGATATGTGGATAGCTTTGAGGATTTCGTTGGAAACGGGTATGTCTTCAGATAAACTCTAGACAGAAGCATTCTCAGAAACTTCTTTGGGATGTTGCATTCAAGTCACAGAGTAGAACATTCCCATTCATAGAGCAGATTTGAAACACTCTTTTTGTAGTATCTGGAAGTGGACATTTGGAGCGCTTTCAGGCCTATGTTGAAAAAGGAAATATCTTCCCATAAAAACTAGACGGAAGCATTCTCAGAAACTTATTTGTGATGTGTTTGCTCAACTAACAGAATTGAACCATCGTTTTGAAGGAGCAGTTTTGAAACACTGTTTTCGTGGAATCTGCAAGTGGATATTTGGCTAGCTTTGAGGATTTCGTTGGAAACGGGATTACATATAAAAAGGAGACAGCAACATTCTCAGAAACTTCTTTGTGATGTCTGCATTCAAGTCACAGAGTTGAGCATTCCCTTTCATAGAGCAGGTTGGAAACACTCTTTTTGTAGTATCTGGATGAGGACATTTGGAGCGCTTTCAGGCGTATGGTGAAAAAGGAAATATCTTCCCGTAAAAACTAGACAGAAGCATTCTCAGAAATTTATTTGTGATGTGTGCCTCAACTAACAGAGTTGAACCTTTCTTTTGATAGAGCAGTTTTGAAACACTCTTTTTGTAAAATCTGCAAGAGGATATTTGGATAGCTTTGAGGATTTCGTTGCAAACGGGAATGGCTTCATATAAACTCTAGACAGAAGCATTCTCAGAAACTTCGTTGGGATGTTTCGATTGAAGTCCCAGTGTTGAACATTCCCTTTTATAGAGCAGGTTGGAAACACTCTTTCTGCATTCCCTGGAAGTGGACATTTGGAGCGCTTTCAGGACGACGGTGAAAATGGAAATATCTTCCAAGAAAATCTAGATAGAAGCAACGTCAGAAACTTTTCTGTGATGGATCTACTCAGCTAACAGAGTTGAACCTTTCTTTTGAGAGAGCAGTTTTGCAACACTCTTTTTGTGGAATATGCAAGTGGATATTAGGGCAGCTTTGAGGATTTCGTTGGAAACGGGAATACATGTAAAAAGCAGACAGCAGCATTCTCAGAAACTTCTTTGTGATGTTTGCATTGAAGTCACAGAGTTGAACATTCCCTTTGAGAGAGCAGGTTTGAAACACGCCTTTTGTCATATCTGGAAGTGTCCATTCGGAGCGCATTCAGGCTTGTGTTGAAAAAGGAAATATCCTCCCATAAAAACTAGACAGAAGCATTCTCAGAAACTTATCTGTGATGTATGTACTCAACTAACAGAACTAAACCATCGTTTTGAAGGAGCAGTTTTGAAACACTCTTTTTGCGGAATCTGCAAGTGGATATTTGGCTAGCTGGGAGGATTTCGTTGGAAACGGGATTACATACAAAAAGCAGACAGCAGCATTCTCAGAAACTTCTTTGTGATGTTTGCATTCAAGTCACAGAGTTGAACATTCCCTTTCATAGAGCAGGTTTGAAACACTCTTTTTGTAGTATCTGGATGTGGACATTTGGATCGCTTTCAGGCCTATGGTGAAAAAGGAAATATCTTCCCATGAAAACTAGACAGAAGCATTCTCAGAAACTTATTTGTGATGTGTGCCCTCAACTGACAGTGTTGAACCTTTGTTTTGATAGAGCAGTTCTGAAACACACTTTTTGTAAAATCTGCAAGAGGATATTTGGATAGCTTTGAGGATTTCGTTGGAAACGGGAATGTCTTCATGTAAACTCTACACAGAAGCATTCTCAGAAACTGCTTTGGGATGTTTCAATTGAAGTCCCAGTGTTGAACATTCCCATTCATAGAGCAGGTTTGAAACACTCTTTTTGTACTATCTGGAAGTGGACATTTGGAGCGCTTTCAGGTCTACGGTGAAAAAGGAGATATCTTCCAATAAAAACTAGATAGAAGCAATGTCAGAACTTTTTTCATGATGTATCTACTCAGCAAACAGAGTTGAACCTTTCTTTTGAGAGAGCAGTTTTGAAACACTCCTTTTGTGGAATATGCAAGTGGGTATTAGGCCAGCTTGGAGGATTTCGTTGGAAACGGGAATACGTATAAAAAGCAGACAGCAGCATTGTCAGCAAACTACTTTGTGATGTTTGCATTCAAGTCACAGAATTGAACACTCCCTTTCACAGAGCAGGTTTGAAACACTCTTTTTGTAGTGTCTGTAAGTGAACATTTGGATTGATTTCAGGCCTAAGGTGAAAAAGGAAATATCTTCCCATAAAAACTAGACAGAAGCATTCTCAGAAACTTGTTTGTGATGTGTGCCCTCTACTGACAGAGTTGAACCTTTCTTTGCAAAGAGCAGTTTTGAAACACTCTTTTTGTAGAATCTGCAAGAGGATATTTGGATAGCTTTGAGGATTTCTTGGGAAACGGGAATGTCTTCAGATAAACTCTAGACAGAAGCATTTTCAGAAACTTCTTTGGGATGTTTCAATTGAAGTCACAGTGTTGAACATTCCCTTTCACAGAGCAGGTTTGAAACACTCTTTTTGTAGTGTCTATAAGTGAACATTTGGCGTGCTTTCAGGCCTAACGTGAAAAAGGAAATATCTTCCCATAAAAACTAGACAGAAGCATTCTCAGAAACTTGTTCTTGATGTGTCCCCTCTACTGACAGAGTTGAACCTTTCTTTGCAAAGAGCAGCTTTGAAACACTCTTTTTGTAGAATCTGCAAGAGGATATTTGGATAGCTTGGAGGATTTCGTTGGAAACGGGTATGTCTTCAGATAAACTCTAGACAGAAGCATTCTCAGAAACTTCTTTGGGATGCTGCATTCAAGTCACAGAGTAGAACATTCCCATTCATAGAGCAGATTTGAAACACTCTTTTTGTAGTATCTGGAAGTGGACATTTGGAGCGCTTTCAGGCCTATGTTGAAAAAGGAAATATCTTCCAATAAAAACTAGACGGAAGCATTCTCAGAAACTTAATTGTGATGTGTTTGCTCAACTAACAGGATTGAACCATCGTTTTGAAGGAGCAGTTTTGAAACACTGTTTTCGTGGAATCTGCAAGTGGATATTTGGCTAGCTTTGAGGATTTCGTTGGAAACGGGATTACATATAAAAAGGAGACAGCAGCATTCTCAGAAACTTCTTTGTGATGTCTGCATTCAATTCACAGAGTTGAGCATTCCCTTTCATAGAGCAGGTTGGAAACACTCTTTTTGTAGTATCTGGATGAGGACATTTGGAGCGCTTTCAGGCGTATGGTGAAAAGGGAAATATCTTCCCGTAAAAACTAGACAGAAGCATTCTCAGAAGTTTATTTGTGATGTGTGCCCTCAACTAACAGAGTTGAACCTTTCTTTTGATAGAGCAGTTTTGAAACACTCTTTTTGTAAAATCTGCAAGAGGATATTTGGATAGCTTTGAGGATTTCGTTGCAAACGGGAATGGCTTCATATAAACTCCTAGACAGAAGCATTCTCAGAAACTTCGTTGGGATGTTTCGATTGAAGTCCCAGTGTTGAACATTCCCTTTTATAGAGCAGGTTGGAAACACTCTTTCTGCATTCCCTGGAAGTGGACATTTGGAGCGCTTTCAGGACGACGGTGAAAATGGAAATATCTTCCAAGAAAATCTAGATAGAAGCAATGTCAGAAACTTTTCTGTGATGGATCTACTCAGCTAACAGAGTTGAAACTTTCTTTTGAGAGAGCAGTTTTGCAACACTCTTTTTGTGGAATATGCAAGTGGATATTAGGGCAGCTTTGAGGATTTCGTTGGAAACGGGAATACATGTAAAAAGCAGACAGCAGCATTCTCAGAAACTTCTTTGTGATGTTTGCATTGAAGTCACAGAGTTGAACATTCCCTTTGAGAGAGCAGGTTTGAAACACGCCTTTTGTCATATCTGGAAGTGTCCATTCGGAGCGCATTCAGGCTTGTGTTGAAAAAGGAAATATCCTCCCATAAAAACTAGACAGAAGCATTCTCAGAAACTTATCTGTGATGTATGTACTCAACTAACAGAACTAAACCATCGTTTTGAAGGAGCAGTTTTGAAACACTCTTTTTGCGGAATCTGCAAGTGGATATTTGGCTAGCTGGGAGGATTTCGTTGGAAACGGGATTACATACAAAAAGCAGACAGCAGCATTCTCAGAAACTTCTTTGTGATGTTTGCATTCAAGTCACAGAGTTGAACATTCCCTTTCATAGAGCAGGTTTGAAACACTCTTTTTGTAGTATCTGGATGTGGACATTTGGATCGCTTTCAGGCCTATGGTGAAAAAGGAAATATCTTCCCATGAAAACTAGACAGAAGCATTCTCAGAAACTTATTTGTGATGTGTGCCCTCAACTGACAGTGTTGAACCTTTGTTTTGATAGAGCAGTTCTGAAACACACTTTTTGTAAAATCTGCAAGAGGATATTTGGATAGCTTTGAGGATTTCGTTGGAAACGGGAATGTCTTCATGTAAACTCTAGACAGAAGCATTCTCAGAAACTGCTTTGGGATGTTTCAATTGAAGTCCCAGTGTTGAACATTCCCTTTCATAGAGCAGGTTTGAAACACTCTTTTTGTACTATCTGGAAGTGGACATTTGGAGCGCTTTCAGGTCTACGGTGAAAAAGGAGATATCTTCCAATAAAAACTAGATAGAAGCAATGTCAGAACTTTTTTCATGATGTATCTACTCAGCAAACAGAGTTGAACCTTTCTTTTGAGAGAGCAGTTTTGAAACACTCTTTTTGTGGAATATGAAAGTGGGTATTAGGCCAGCTTGGAGGATTTCGTTGGAAACGGGAATACGTATAAAAAGCAGACAGCAGCATTGTCAGAAACTACTTTGTGATGTTTGCATTCAAGTCACAGAACTGAACACTCCCTTTCACAGAGCAGGTTTGAAACACTCTTTTTGTAGTGTCTGTAAGTGAACATTTGGATTGCTTTCAGGCCTAAGGTGAAAAAGGAAATATCTTCCCATAAAAACTAGACAGAAGCATTCTCAGAAACTTGTTTGTGATGTGTGCCCTCTACTGACAGAGTTGAACCTTTCTTTGCAAAGAGCAGTTTTGAAACACTCTTTTTGTAGAATCTGCAAGAGGATATTTGGATAGCTTTGAGGATTTCTTGGGAAACGGGAATGTCTTCAGATAAACTCTAGACAGAAGCATTCTCAGAAACTTCTTTGGGATATTTCAATTGAAGTCACAGTGTTGAACATTCCCTTTCACAGAGCACGTTTGAAACACTCTTTTTGTAGTGTCTATAAGTGAACATTTGGCGTGCTTTCAGGCCTAACGTGAAAAAGGAAATATCTTCCCATAAAAACTAGACAGAAGCATTCTCAGAAACTTGTTCGTGATGTGTGCCCTCTACTGACAGAGTTGAACCTTTCTTTGCAAAGAGCAGCTTTGAAACACACTTTTTGTAGAATCTGCAAGAGGATATTTGGATAGCTTGGAGGATTTCGTTGGAAACGGGTATGTCTTCAGATAAACTCTAGACAGAAGCATTCTCAGAAATTTCTTTGGGATGTTGCATGCAAGTCACAGAGTAGAACATTCCCATTCATAGAGCAGATTTGAAACACTCTTTTTGTAGTATCTGGAAGTGGACATTTGGAGCGCTTTCAGGCCTATGTTGAAAAAGGAAATATCTTCCCATAAAAACTAGACGGAAGCATTCTCAGAAACTTATTTGTGATGTGTTTGCTCAACTAACAGGATTGAACCATCGTTTTGAAGGAGCAGTTTTGAAACACTGTTTTCGTGGAATCTGCAAGTGGATATTTGGCTAGCTTTGAGGATTTCGTTGGAAACGGGATTACATATAAAAAGGAGACAGCAGCATTCTCAGAAACTTCTTTGTGATGTCTGCATTCAATTCACAGAGTTGAGCATTCCCTTTCATAGAGCAGGTTGGAAACACTCTTTTTGTAGTATCTGGATGAGGACATTTGGAGCGCTTTCAGGCCTATGGTGAAAAAGGAAATATCTTCCCGTAAAAACTAGACAGAAGCATTCTCAGAAATTTATTTGTGATGTGTGCCCTCAACTAACAGAGTTGAACCTTTCTTTTGATAGAGCAGTTTTGAAACACTCTTTTTGTAAAATCTGCAAGAGGATATTTGGATAGCTTGAGGATTTCGTTGCAAACGGGAATGGCTTCATATAAACTCTAGACAGAAGCATTCTCAGAAACTTCGTTGGGATGTTTCGATTGAAGTCCCAGTGTTGAACATTCCCTTTTATAGAGCAGGTTGGAAACACTCTTTCTGCATTCCCTGGAAGTGGACATTTGGAGGGCTTTCAGGACGACGGTGAAAATGGAAATATCTTCCAAGAAAATCTAGATAGAAGCAACGTCAGAAACTTTTATGTGATGGATCTACTCAGCTAACAGAGTTGAACCTTTCTTTTGAGAGAGCAGTTTTGCAACACTCTTTTTGTGGAATATGCAAGTGGATATTAGGGCAGCTTTGAGGATTTCGTTGGAAACGGGAATACATGTAAAAAGCAGACAGCAGCATTCTCAGAAACTTCTTTGTGATGTTTGCATTGAAGTCACAGAGTTGAACATTCCCTTTGAGAGAGCAGGTTTGAAACACGCCTTTTGTCATATCTGGAAGTGTCCATTCGGAGCGCATTCAGGCTTGTGTTGAAAAAGGAAATATCCTCCCATAAAAACTAGACAGAAGCATTCTCAGAAACTTATTTGTGATGTATGTACTCAACTAACAGAACTAAACCATCGTTTTGAAGGAGCAGTTTTGAAACACTCTTTTTGCGGAATCTGCAAGTGGATATTTGGCTAGCTGGGAGGATTTTGTTGGAAACGGGATTACATATAAAAAGGAGACAGCAGCATTCTCAGAAACTTCTTTGTGATGTCTGCATTCAATTCACAGAGTTGAGCATTCCCTTTCATAGAGCAGGTTGGAAACTCTCTTTTTGTAGTATCTGGATGAGGACTTTTGTAGCGCTTTCAGGCGTATGGTGAAAAAGGAAATATCTTCCCGTAAAAACTAGACAGAAGCATTCTCAGAAATTTATTTGTGATGTGTGCCCTCAACTAACAGAGTTGAACCTTTCTTTTGATAGAGCAGTTTTGAAACACTCTTTTTGTGAAATCTGCAAGAGGATATTTGGATAGCTTTGAGGATTTCGTTGCAAACGGGAATGGCTTCATATAAACTCTAGACAGAAGCATTCTCAGAAACTTCGTTGGGATGTTTCGATTGAAGTCCCAGTGTTGAACATTCCCTTTTATAGAGCAGGTTGGAAACACTCTTTCTGCATTCCCTGGAAGTGGACATTTGGAGCGCTTTCAGGACGACGGTGAAAATGGAAATATCTTCCAAGAAAATCTAGATAGAAGCAACGTCAGAAACTTTTCTGTGATGGATCTACTCAGCTAACAGAGTTGAACCTTTCTTTTGAGAGAGCAGTTTTGCAACACTCTTTTTGTGGAATATGCAAGTGGATATTAGGGCAGCTTTGAGGATTTCGTTGGAAACGGGAATACATGTAAAAAGCAGACAGCAGCATTCTCAGAAACTTCTTTGTGATGTTTGCATTGAAGTCACAGAGTTGAACATTCCCTTTGAGAGAGCAGGTTTGAAACACGCCTTTTGTCATATCTGGAAGTGTCCATTCGGAGCGCATTCAGGCTTGTGTTGAAAAAGGAAATATCCTCCCATAAAAACTAGACAGAAGCATTCTCAGAAACTTATCTGTGATGTATGTACTCAACTAACAGAACTAAACCATCGTTTTGAAGGAGCAGTTTTGAAACACTCTTTTTGCGGAATCTGCAAGTGGATATTTGGCTAGCTGGGAGGATTTCGTTGGAAACGGGATTACATACAAAAAGCAGAGAGCAGCATTCTCAGAAACTTCTTTGTGATGTTTGCATTCAAGTCACAGAGTTGAACATTCCCTTTCATAGAGCAGGTTTGAAACACTCTTTTTGTAGTATCTGGATGTGGACATTTGGATCGCTTTCAGGCCTATGGTGAAAAAGGAAATATCTTCCCATGAAAACTAGACAGAAGCATTCTCAGAAACTTATTTGTGATGTGTGCCCTCAACTGACAGTGTTGAACCTTTGTTTTGATAGAGCAGTTCTGAAACACACTTTTTGTAAAATCTGCAAGAGGATATTTGGATAGCTTTGAGGATTTCGTTGGAAACGGGAATGTCTTCATGTAAACTCTGGACAGAAGCATTCTCAGAAACTGCTTTGGGATGTTTCAATTGAAGTCCCAGTGTTGAACATTCCCTTTCATAGAGCAGGTTTGAAACACTCTTTTTGTACTATCTGGAAGTGGACATTTGGAGCGCTTTCAGGTCTACGGTGAAAAAGGAGATATCTTCCAATAAAAACTAGATAGAAGCAATGTCAGAACTTTTTTCATGATGTATCTACTCAGCAAACAGAGTTGAACCTTTCTTTTGAGAGAGCAGTTTTGAAACACTCTTTTTGTGGAATATGCAAGTGGGTATTAGGCCAGCTTGGAGGATTTCGTTGGAAACGGGAATACGTATAAAAAGCAGACAGCAGCATTGTCAGAAACTACTTTGTGATGTTTGCATTCAAGTCACAGAATTGAACACTCCCTTTCACAGAGCAGGTTTGAAACACTCTTTTTGTAGTGTCTGTAAGTGAACATTTGGATTGCTTTCAGGCCTAAGGTGAAAAAGGAAATATCTTCCCATAAAAACTAGACAGAAGCATTCTCAGAAACTTGTTTGTGATGTGTGCCCTCTACTGACAGAGTTGAAACTTTCTTTGCAAAGAGCAGTTTTGAAACACTCTTTTTGTAGAATCTGCAAGAGGATATTTGGATAGCTTTGAGGATTTCTTGGGAAACGGGAATGTCTTCAGATAAACTCTAGACAGAAGCATTCTCAGAAACTTCTTCGGGATGTTTCAATTGAAGTCAGTGTTGAACATTCCCTTTCACAGAGCAGGTTTGAAACACTCTTTTTGTAGTGTCTATAAGTGAACATTTGGCGTGCTTTCAGGCGTAACGTGAAAAAGGAAATATCTTCCCATAAAAACTAGACAGAAGCATTCTCAGAAACTTGTTCTTGATGTGTCCCCTCTACTGACAGAGTTGAACCTTTCTTTGCAAAGAGCAGCTTTGAAACACTCTTTTTGTAGAATCTGCAAGAGGATATTTGGATAGCTTGGAGGATTTCGTTGGAAACGGGTATGTCTTCAGATAAACTCTAGACAGAAGCATTCTCAGAAACTTCTTTGGGATGTTGCATTCAAGTCACAGAGTAGAACATTCCCATTCATAGAGCAGATTTGAAACACTCTTTTTGTAGTATCTGGAAGTGGACATTTGGAGCGCTTTCAGGCCTATGTTGAAAAAGGAAATATCTTCCCATAAAAACTAGACGGAAGCATTCTCAGAAACTTATTTGTGATGTGTTTGCTCAACTAACAGGATTGAACCATCGTTTTGAAGGAGCAGTTTTGAAACACTGTTTTCGTGGAATCTGCAAGTGGATATTTGGCTAGCTTTGAGGATTTCGTTGGAAACGGGATTACATATACAAAGGAGACAGCAGCATTCTCAGAAACTTCTTTGTGATGTCTGCATTCAATTCACAGAGTTGAGCATTCCCTTTCATAGAGCAGGTTGGAAACACTCTTTTTGTAGTATCTGGATGAGGACATTTGGAGCGCTTTCAGGCGTATGGTGAAAAAGGAAATATCTTCCCGTAAAAACTAGACAGAAGCATTCTCAGAAGTTTATTTGTGATGTGTGCCCTCAACTAACAGAGTTGAACCTTTCTTTTGATAGAGCAGTTTTGAAACACTCTTTTTGTAAAATCTGCAAGAGGATATTTGGATAGCTTTGAGGATTTCGTTGGAAACGGGAATGTCTTCATGTAAACTCTAGACAGAAGCATTCTCAGAAACTTCGTTGGGATGTTTCGATTGAAGTCCCAGTGTTGAACATTCCCTTTTATAGAGCAGGTTGGAAACACTCTTTCTGCATTCCCTGGAAGTGGACATTTGGAGCGCTTTCAGGACGACGGTGAAAATGGAAATATCTTCCAATAAAATCTAGATAGAAGCAACGTCAGAAACTTTTATGTGATGGATCTACTCAGCTAACAGAGTTGAACCTTTCTTTTGAGAGAGCAGTTTTGCAACACTCTTTTTGTGGAATATGCAAGTGGATATTAGGGCAGCTTTGAGGATTTCGTTGGAAACGGGAATACATGTAAAAAGCAGACAGCAGCATTCTCAGAAACTTCTTTGTGATGTTTGCATTGAAGTCACAGAGTTGAACATTCCCTTTGAGAGAGCAGGTTTGAAACACGCCTTTTGTCATATCTGGAAGTGTCCATTCGGAGCGCATTCAGGCTTGTGTTGAAAAAGGAAATATCCTCCCATAAAAACTAGACAGAAGCATTCTGAGAAACTTATTTGTGATGTGTGTACTCAACTAACAGAATTGAATCATCGTTTTGAAAGAGCAGTTTTGAAACACTCTTTTTGTGGAATCTGCAAGTGGATATTTGTCTAGCTTTGAGGATTTCGTTGGAAACGGGATTACATATAAAAAGCAGACAGCAGCATTCTCAGAAACTTCTTTGTGATGTTTGCATTGAAGTCCCAGATTTGAACATTCCCTTTCATAGAGCAGGTTTGAAACACGCCTTTTGTCATATCTGCAAGTTGTCCATTTGGAGCGCATTCCGGCTTGTGTTGAAAAAGGAAATATCCTCCCATAAAAACTAGATAGAAGCATTCTCAGAAACTTATTTGTGATGTGTGTACTCAACTAACAGAATTGAACCATCGTTTTGAAAGAGCAGTTTTGAAACACTCCTTTTGTGGAATCTGCAAGTGGATATTTGTCTAGCTTTGAGGATTTCGTTGGAAACGGGATTACATATAAAAAGCAGACAGCAGCATTCTCAGAAACTTCTTTGTGATGTCTGCATTCAATTCACAGAGTTGAGCATTCCCTTTCATAGAGCAGGTTGGAAACACTCTTTTTGTAGTATCTGGATGAGGACATTTGGAGCGCTTTCAGGCGTATGGTGAAAAAGGAAATATCTTCCCGTAAAAACTAGACAGAAGCATTCTCAGAAATTTATTTGTGATGTGTGCCCTCAACTAACAGAGTTGAACCTTTCTTTTGATAGAGCAGTTTTGAAACACTCTTTTTGTAAAATCTGCAAGAGGATATTTGGATAGCTTTGAGGATTTCATTGCAAATGGGAATGGCTTCATATAAACTCTAGACAGAAGCATTCTCAGAAACTTCGTTGGGATGTTTCGATTGAAGTCCCAGTGTTGAACATTCCCTTTTATAGAGCAGGTTGGAAACAGTCTTTCTGCATTCCCTGGAAGTGGACATTTGGAGCGCTTTCAGGACGACGGTGAAAATGGAAATATCTTCCAATAAAATCTGGATAGAAGCAACGTCAGAAACTTTTATGTGATGGATCTACTCAGCTAACAGAGTTGAACCTTTCTTTTGAGAGAGCAGTTTTGCAACACTCTTTTTGTGGAATATGCAAGTGGATATTAGGGCAGCTTTGAGGATTTCGTTGGAAACGGGAATACATGTAAAAAGCAGACAGCAGCATTCTCAGAAACTTCTTTGTGATGTTTGCATTGAAGTCACAGAGTTGAACATTCCCTTTGAGAGAGCAGGTTTGAAACACGCCTTTTGTCATATCTGGAAGTGTCCATTCGGAGCGCATTCAGGCTTGTGTTGAAAAAGGAAATATCCTCCCATAAAAACTAGACAGAAGCATTCTCAGAAACTTATGTGTGATGTATGTACTCAACTAACAGAACTAAACCATCGTTTTGAAGGAGCAGTTTTGAAACACTCTTTTTGCGGAATCTGCAAGTGGATATTTGGCTAGCTGGGAGGATTTCGTTGGAAACGGGATTACATACAAAAAGCAGAGAGCAGCATTCTCAGAAACTTCTTTGTGATGTTTGCATTCAAGTCACAGAGTTGAACATTCCCTTTCATAGAGCAGGTTTGAAACACTCTTTTTGTAGTATCTGGATGTGGACATTTGGATCGCTTTCAGGCCTATGGTGAAAAAGGAAATATCTTCCCATGAAAACTAGACAGAAGCATTCTCAGAAATTTATTTGTGATGTGTGCCCTCAACTAACAGAGTTGAACCTTTCTTTTGATAGAGCAGTTTTGAAACACTCTTTTTGTAAAATCTGCAAGAGGATATTTGGATAGCTTTGAGGATTTCATTGCAAACGGGAATGGCTTCATATAAACTCTAGACAGAAGCATTCTCAGAAACTTCGTTGGGATGTTTCGATTGAAGTCCCAGTGTTGAACATTCCCTTTTATAGAGCAGGTTGGAAACACTCTTTTTGCATTCCCTGGAAGTGGACATTTGGAGCGCTTTCAGGACGACGGTGAAAATGGAAATATCTTCCAAGAAAATCTAGATAGAAGCAATGTCAGAAACTTTTATGTGATGGATCTACTCAGCTAACAGAGTTGAACCTTTCTTTTGAGAGAGCAGTTTTGCAACACTCTTTTTGTGGAATATGCAAGTGGATATTAGGGCAGCTTTGAGGATTTCGTTGGAAACGGGAATACATGTAAAAAGCAGACAGCAGCATTCTCAGAAACTTCTTTGTGATGTTTGCATTGAAGTCACAGAGTTGAACATTCCCTTTGAGAGAGCAGGTTTGAAACACGCCTTTTGTCATATCTGGAAGTGTCCATTCGGAGCGCATTCAGGCTTGTGTTGAAAAAGGAAATATCCTCCCATAAAAACTAGACAGAAGCATTCTCAGAAACTTATCTGTGATGTATGTACTCAACTAACAGAACTAAACCATCGTTTTGAAGGAGCAGTTTTGAAACACTCTTTTTGCGGAATCTGCAAGTGGATATTTGGCTAGCTGGGAGGATTTCGTTGGAAACGGGATTACATACAAAAAGCAGACAGCAGCATTCTCAGAAACTTCTTTGTGATGTTTGCATTCAAGTCACAGAGTTGAACATTCCCTTTCATAGAGCAGGTTTGAAACACTCTTTTTGTAGTATCTGGATGTGGACATTTGGATCGCTTTCAGGCCTATGGTGAAAAAGGAAATATCTTCCCATGAAAACTAGACAGAAGCATTCTCAGAAACTTATTTGTGATGTGTGCCCTCAACTGACAGTGTTGAACCTTTGTTTTGATAGAGCAGTTCTGAAACACACTTTTTGTAAAATCTGCAAGAGGATATTTGGATAGCTTTGAGGATTTCGTTGGAAACGGGAATGTCTTCATGTAAACTCTAGACAGAAGCATTCTCAGAAACTGCTTTGGGATGTTTCAATTGAAGTCCCAGTGTTGAACATTCCCTTTCATAGAGGAGGTTTGAAACACTCTTTTTGTACTATCTGGAAGTGGACATTTGGAGCGCTTTCAGGTCTACGGTGAAAAAGGAGATATCTTCCAATAAAAACTAGATAGAAGCAATGTCAGAACTTTTTTCATGATGTATCTACTCAGCAAACAGAGTTGAACCTTTCTTTTGAGAGAGCAGTTTTGAAACACTCTTTTTGTGGAATATGCAAGTGGGTATTAGGCCAGCTTGGAGGATTTCGTTGGAAACGGGAATACGTATAAAAAGCAGACAGCAGCATTGTCAGAAACTACTTTGTGATGTTTGCATTCAAGTCACAGAATTGAACACTCCCTTTCACAGAGCAGGTTTGAAACACTCTTTTTGTAGTGTCTGTAAGTGAACATATGGATTGCTTTCAGGCCTAAGGTGAAAAAGGAAATATCTTCCCATAAAAACTAGACAGAAGCATTCTCAGAAACTTGTTTGTGATGTGTGCCCTCTACTGACAGAGTTGAACCTTTCTTTGCAAAGAGCAGTTTTGAAACACTCTTTTTGTAGAATCTGCAAGAGGATATTTGGATAGCTTTGAGGATTTCTTGGGAAACGGGAATGTCTTCAGATAAACTCTAGACAGAAGCATTCTCAGAAACTTCTTTGGGATGTTTCAATTGAAGTCACAGTGTTGAACATTCCCTTTCACAGAGCAGGTTTGAAACACTCTTTTTGTAGTGTCTATAAGTGAACATTTGGCGTGCTTTCAGGCGTAACGTGAAAAAGGAAATATCTTCCCATAAAAACTAGACAGAAGCATTCTCAGAAACTTGTTCTTGATGTGTCCCCTCTACTGACAGAGTTGAACCTTTCTTTGCAAAGAGCAGCTTTGAAACACTCTTTTTGTAGAATCTGCAAGAGGATATTTGGATAGCTTGGAGGATTTCGTTGGAAACGGGTATGTCTTCAGATAAACTCTAGACAGAAGCATTCTCAGAAACTTCTTTGGGATGTTGCATTCAAGTCACAGAGTAGAACATTCCCATTCATAGAGCAGATTTGAAACACTCTTTTTGTAGTATCTGGAAGTGGACATTTGGAGCGCTTTCAGGCCTATGTTGAAAAAGGAAATATCTTCCCATAAAAACTAGACGGAAGCATTCTCAGAAACTTATTTGTGATGTGTTTGCTCAACTAACAGGATTGAACCATCGTTTTGAAGGAGCAGTTTTGAAACACTGTTTTCGTGGAATCTGCAAGTGGATATTTGGCTAGCTTTGAGGATTTCGTTGGAAACGGGATTACATATAAAAAGGAGACAGCAGCATTCTCAGAAACTTCTTTGTGATGTCTGCATTCAATTCACAGAGTTGAGCATTCCCTTTCCTAGAGCACGTTGGAAACACTCTTTTTGTAGTATCTGGATGAGGACATTTGGAGCGCTTTCAGGCGTATGGTGAAAAAGGAAATATCTTCCCGTAAAAACTAGACAGAAGCATTCTCAGAAATTTATTTGTGATGTGTGCCCTCAACTAACAGAGTTGAACCTTTCTTTTGATAGAGCAGTTTTGAAACACTCTTTTTGTAAAATCTGCAAGAGGATATTTGGATAGCTTTGAGGATTTCGTTGCAAACGGGAATGGCTTCATATAAACTCTAGACAGAAAGCATTCTCAGAAACTTCGTCGGGATGTTTCGATTGAAGTCCCAGTGTTGAACATTCCCTTTTATAGAGCAGGTTGGAAACACTCTTTCTGCATTCCCTGGAAGTGGACAATTGGAGCGCTTTCAGGACGACGGTGAAAATGGAAATATCTTCCAATAAAATCTGGATAGAGCAACGTCAGAAACTTTTCTGTGATGGATCTACTCAGCTAACAGAGTTGAACCTTTCTTTTGAGAGAGCAGTTTTGCAACACTCTTTTTGTGGAATATGCAAGTGGATATTAGGGCAGCTTTGAGGATTTCGTTGGAAACGGGAATACATGTAAAAAGCAGACAGCAGCATTCTCAGAAACTTCTTTGTGATGTTTGCATTGAAGTCACAGAGTTGAACATTCCCTTTGAGAGAGCAGGTTTGAAACACGCCTTTTGTCATATCTGGAAGTGTCCATTCGGAGCGCATTCAGGCTTGTGTTGAAAAAGGAAATATCCTCCCATAAAAACTAGGACGGAAGCATTCTCAGAAACTTATCTGTGATGTATGTACTCAACTAACAGAACTAAACCATCGTTTTGAAGGAGCAGTTTTGAAACACTCTTTTTGCGGAATCTGCAAGTGGATATTTGGCTAGCTGGGAGGATTTCGTTGGAAACGGGATTACATACAAAAAGCAGACAGCAGCATTCTCAGAAACTTCTTTGTGATGTTTGCATTCAAGTCACAGAGTTGAACATTCCCTTTCATAGAGCAGGTTGGAAACACTCTTTTTGTAGTATCTGGATGTGGACATTTGGATCGCTTTCAGGCCTATGGTGAAAAAGGAAATATCTTCCCATGAAAACTAGACAGAAGCATTCTCAGAAACTTATTTGTGATGTGTGCCCTCAACTGACAGTGTTGAACCTTTGTTTTGATAGAGCAGTTCTGAAACACACTTTTTGTAAAATCTGCAAGAGGATATTTGGATAGCTTTGAGGATTTCGTTGGAAACGGGAATGTCTTCATGTAAACTCTAGACAGAAGCATTCTCAGAAACTGCTTTGGGATGTTTCAATTGAAGTCCCAGTGTTGAACATTCCCTTTCATAGAGCAGGTTTGAAACACTCTTTTTGTACTATCTGGAAGTGGACATTTGGAGCGCTTTCAGGTCTACGGTGAAAAAGGAGATATCTTCCAATAACAACTAGATAGAAGCAATGTCAGAACTTTTTTCATGATGTATCTACTCAGCAAACAGAGTTGAACCTTTCTTTTGAGAGAGCAGTTTTGAAACACTCTTTTTGTGGAATATGCAAGTGGGTATTAGGCCAGCTTGGAGGATTTCGTTGGAAACGGGAATACGTATAAAAAGCAGACAGCAGCATTGTCAGAAACTACTTTGTGATGTTTGCATTCAAGTCACAGAATTGAACACTCCCTTTCACAGGGCAGGTTTGAAACACTCTTTTTGTAGTGTCTGTAAGTGAACATTTGGATTGCTTTCAGGCCTAAGGTGAAAAAGGAAATATCTTCCCATAAAAACTAGACAGAAGCATTCTCAGAAACTTGTTTGTGATGTGTGCCCTCTACTGACAGAGTTGAAACTTTCTTTGCAAAGAGCAGTTTTGAAACACTCTTTTTGTAGAATCTGCAAGAGGATATTTGGATAGCTTTGAGGATTTCTTGGGAAACGGGAATGTCTTCAGATAAACTCTAGACAGAAGCATTCTCAGAAACTTCTTTGGGATGTTTCAATTGAAGTCAGTGTTGAACATTCCCTTTCACAGAGCAGTTTTGAAACACTCTTTTTGTAGTGTCTATAAGTGAACATTTGGCGTGCTTTCAGGCCTAACGTGAAAAAGGAAATATCTTCCCATAAAAACTAGACAGAAGCATTCTCAGAAACTTGTTCTTGATGTGTCCCCTCTACTGACAGAGTTGAACCTTTCTTTGCAAAGAGCAGCTTTGAAACACTCTTTTTGTAGAATCTGCAAGAGGATATTTGGATAGCTTGGAGGATTTCGTTGGAAACGGGTATGTCTTCAGATAAACTCTAGACAGAAGCATTCTCAGAAACTTCTTTGGGATGTTGCATTCAAGTCACAGAGTAGAACATTCCCATTCATAGAGCAGATTTGAAACACTCTTTTTGTAGTATCTGGAAGTGGACATTTGGAGCGCTTTCAGGCCTATGTTGAAAAAGGAAATATCTTCCCATAAAAACTACACGGAAGCATTCTCAGAAACTTATTTGTGATGTGTTTGCTCAACTAACAGGATTGAACCATCGTTTTGAAGGAGCAGTTTTGAAACACTGTTTTCGTGGAATCTGCAAGTGGATATTTGGCTAGCTTTGAGGATTTCGTTGGAAACGGGATTACATATAAAAAGGAGACAGCAGCATTCTCAGAAACTTCTTTGTGATGTCTGCATTCAAGTCACAGAGTTGAGCATTCCCTTTCATAGAGAAGGTTGGAAACACTCTTTTTGTAGTATCTGGATGAGGACATTTGGAGCGCTTTCAGGCGTATGGTGAAAAAGGAAATATCTTCCCGTAAAAACTAGACAGAAGATTCTCAGAAATTTATTTGTGATGTGTGCCCTCAACTAACAGAGTTGAACCTTTCTTTTGATAGAGCAGTTTTGAAACACTCTTTTTGTAAAATCTGCAAGAGGATATTTGGATAGCTTTGAGGATTTCGTTGCAAACGGGAATGGCTTCATATAAACTCTAGACAGAAGCATTCTCAGAAACTTCGTTGGGATGTTTCGATTGAAGTCCCAGTGTTGAACATTCCCTTTTATAGAGCAGGTTGGAAACACTCTTTCTGCATTCCCTGGAAGTGGACATTTGGAGCGCTTTCAGGACGACGGTGAAAATGGAAATATCTTCCAAGAAAATCTAGATAGAAGCAACGTCAGAAACTTTTATGTGATGGATCTACTCAGCTAACAGAGTTGAACCTTTCTTTTGAGAGAGCAGTTTTGCAACACTCTTTTTGGGGAATATGCAAGTGGATATTAGGGCAGCTTTGAGGATTTCGTTGGAAACGGGAATACATGTAAAAAGCAGACAGCAGCATTCTCAGAAACTTCTTTGTGATGTTTGCATTGAAGTCACAGAGTTGAACATCCCCTTTGAGAGAGCAGGTTTGAAACACGCCTTTTGTCATATCTGGAAGTGTCCATTCGGAGCGCATTCAGGCTTGTGTTGAAAAAGGAAATATCCTCCCATAAAAACTAGACAGAAGCATTCTCAGAAACTTATCTGTGATGTATGTACTCAACTAACAGAACTAAACCATCGTTTTGAAGGGCAGTTTAGAAACACTCTTTTTGCGGAATCTGCAAGTGGATATTTGGCTAGCTGGGAGGATTTCGTTGGAAACGGGATTACATACAAAAAGCAGACAGCAGCATTCTCAGAAACTTATTTGTGATGTGTGCCCTCAACTGACAGTGTTGAACCTTTGTTTTGATAGAGCAGTTCTGAAACACACTTTTTGTAAAATCTGCAAGAGGATATTTGGATAGCTTTGAGGATTTCGTTGGAAACGGGAATGTCTTCATGTAAACTCTAGACAGAAGCATTCTCAGAAACTGCTTTGGGATGTTTCAATTGAAGTCCCAGTGTTGAACATTCCCTTTCATAGAGCAGGTTTGAAACACTCTTTTTGTACTATCTGGAAGTGGACATTTGGAGCGCTTTCAGGTCTACGGTGAAAAAGGAGATATCTTCCAATAAAAACTAGATAGAAGCAATGTCAGAACTTTTTTCATGATGTATCTACTCAGCAAACAGAGTTGAACCTTTCTTTTGAGAGAGCAGTTTTGAAACACTCTTTTTGTGGAATATGCAAGTGGGTATTAGGCCAGCTTGGAGGATTTCGTTGGAAACGGGAATACGTATAAAAAGCAGACAGCAGCATTGTCAGAAACTACTTTGTGATGTTTGCATTCAAGTCACAGAATTGAACACTCCCTTTCACAGAGCAGGTTTGAAACACTCTTTTTGTAGTGTCTGTAAGTGAACATTTGGATTGCTTTCAGGCCTAAGGTGAAAAAGGAAATATCTTCCCATAAAAACTAGACAGAAGCATTCTCAGAAACTTGTTTGTGATGTGTGCCCTCTACTGACAGAGTTGAACCTTTCTTTGCAAAGAGCAGTTTTGAAACACTCTTTTTGTAGAATCTGCAAGAGGATATTTGGATAGCTTTGAGGATTTCTTGGGAAACGGGAATGTCTTCAGATAAACTCTAGATAGAAGCATTCTCAGAAACTTCTTTGGGATGTTTCAATTGAAGTCACAGTGTTGAACATTCCCTTTCACAGAGCAGGTTTGAAACACTCTTTTTGTAGTGTCTATAAGTGAACATTTGGCGTGCTTTCAGGCGTAACGTGAAAAAGGAAATATCTTCCCATAAAAACCAGACAGAAGCGTTCTCAGAAACTTGTTCTTGATGTGTGCCCTCTACTGACAGAGTTGAACCTTTCTTTGCAAAGAGCAGCTTTGAAACACTCTTTTTGTAGAATCTGCAAGAGGATATTTGGATAGCTTTGAGGATTTCGTTGGAAACGGGTATGTCTTCAGATAAACTCTAGACAGAAGCATTCTCAGAAACTTCTTTGGGATGTTGCATTCAAGTCACAGAGTAGAACATTCCCATTCATAGAGCAGATTTGAAACACTCTTTTTGTAGTATCTGGAAGTGGACATTTGGAGCGCTTTCAGGCCTATGTTGAAAAAGGAAATATCTTCCCATGAAAACTAGACAGAAGCATTCTCAGAAACTTATTTGTGATGTGTTTGCTCAACTAACAGGATTGAACCATCGTTTTGAAGGAGCAGTTTTGAAACACTGTTTTCGTGGAATCTGCAAGTGGATATTTGGCTAGCTTTGAGGATTTCGTTGGAAACGGGATTACATATACAAAGGAGACAGCAGCATTCTCAGAAACTTCTTTGTGATGTCTGCATTCAATTCACAGAGTTGAGCATTCCCTTTCATAGAGCAGGTTGGAAACACTCTTTTTGTAGTATCTGGATGAGGACATTTGGAGCGCTTTCATGCCTATGGTGAAAAAGGAAATATCTTCCCGTAAAAACTAGACAGAAGCATTCTCAGAAATTTATTTGTGATGTGTGCCCTCAACTAACAGAGTTGAACCTTTCTTTTGATAGAGCAGTTTTGAAACACTCTTTTTGTAAAATCTGCAAGAGGATATTTGGATAGCTTTGAGGATTTCATTGCAAACGGGAATGGCTTCATATAAACTCTAGACAGAAGCATTCTCAGAAACTTCGTTGGGATGTTTCGATTGAAGTCCCAGTGTTGAACATTCCCTTTTATAGAGCAGGTTGGAAACACTCTTTCTGCATTCCCTGGAAGTGGACATTTGGAGCGCTTTCAGGACGACGGTGAAAATGGAAATATCTTCCAAGAAAATCTAGATAGAAGCAACGTCAGAAACTTTTATGTGATGGATCTACTCAGCTAACAGAGTTGAACCTTTCTTTTGAGAGAGCAGTTTTGCAACACTCTTTTTGTGGAATATGCAAGTGGATATTAGGGCAGCTTTGAGGATTTCGTTGGAAACGGGAATACATGTAAAAAGCAGACAGCAGCATTCTCAGAAACTTCTTTGTGATGTTTGTATTGAAGTCACAGAGTTGAACATTCCCTTTGAGAGAGCAGGTTTGAAACACGCCTTTTGTCATATCTGGAAGTGTCCATTCGGAGCGCATTCAGGCTTGTGTTGAAAAAGGAAATATCCTCCCATAAAAACTAGACAGAAGCATTCTCAGAAACTTATTTGTGATGTATGTACTCAACTAACAGAACTAAACCATCGTTTTGAAGGAGCAGTTTTGAAACACTCTTTTTGCGGAATCTGCAAGTGGATATTTGGCTAGCTGGGAGGATTTCGTTGGAAACGGGATTACATACAAAAAGCAGACAGCAGCATTCTCAGAAACTTCTTTGTGATGTTTGCATTCAAGTCACAGAGTTGAACATTCCCTTTCATAGAGCAGGTTTGAAACACTCTTTTTGTAGTATCTGGATGTGGACATTTGGATCGCTTTCAGGCCTATGGTGAAAAAGGAAATATCTTCCCATGAAAACTAGACAGAAGCATTCTCAGAAACTTATTTGTGATGTGTGCCCTCAACTGACAGTGTTGAACCTTTGTTTTGATAGAGCAGTTCTGAAACACACTTTTTGTAAAATCTGCAAGAGGATATTTGGATAGCTTTGAGGATTTCGTTGGAAACGGGAATGTCTTCATGTAAACTCTACACAGAAGCATTCTCAGAAACTGCTTTGGGATGTTTCAATTGAAGTCCCAGTGTTGAACATTCCCTTTCATAGAGCAGGTTTGAAACCCTCTTTTTGTACTATCTGGAAGTGGACATTTGGAGCGCTTTCAGGTCTACGGTGAAAAAGGAGATATCTTCCAATAAAAACTAGATAGAAGCAATGTCAGAACTTTTTTCATGATGTATCTACTCAGCAAACAGAGTTGAACCTTTCTTTTGAGAGAGCAGTTTTGAAACACTCCTTTTGTGGAATATGCAAGTGGGTATTAGGCCAGCTTGGAGGATTTCGTTGGAAACGGGAATACGTATAAAAAGCAGACAGCAGCATTGTCAGAAACTACTTTGTGATGTTTGCATTCAAGTCACAGAATTGAACACTCCCTTTCACAGAGCAGGTTTGAAACTCTCTTTTTGTAGTGTCTATAAGTGAACATTTGGCGTGCTTTCAGGCGTAACGTGAAAAAGGAAATATCTTCCCATAAAAACTAGACAGAAGCATTCTCAGAAACTTGTTCTTGATGTGTGCCCTCTACTGACAGAGTTGAACCTTTCTTTGCAAAGAGCAGTTTTGAAACACTCTTTTTGTAGAATCTGCAAGAGGATATTTGGATAGCTTTGAGGATTTCTTGGGAAACGGGAATGTCTTCAGATAAACTCTAGACAGAAGCATTCTCAGAAACTTCTTTGGGATGTTTCAATTCAAGTCACAGTGTTGAACATTCCCTTTCACAGAGCAGGTTTGAAACACTCTTTTTGTAGTGTCTATAAGTGAACATTTGGCGTGCTTTCAGGCGTAACGTGAAAAAGGAAATATCTTCCCATAAAAACTAGACAGAAGCATTCTCAGAAACTTGTTCGTGATGTGTGCCCTCTACTGACAGAGTTGAACCTTTCTTTGCAAAGAGCAGCTTTGAAACACTCTTTTTGTAGAATCTGCAAGAGGATATTTGGATAGCTTGGAGGATTTCGTTGGAAACGGGTATGTCTTCAGATAAACTGCTAGACAGAAGCATTCTCAGAAACTTCTTTGGGATGTTGCATTCAAGTCACAGAGTAGAACATTCCCATTCATAGAGCAGATTTGAAACACTCTTTTTGTAGTATCTGGAAGTGGACATTTGGAGCGCTTTCAGGCCTATGTTGAAAAAGGAAATATCTTCCCATAAAAACTAGACGGAAGCATTCTCAGAAACTTACTTGTGATGTGTTTGCTCAACTAACAGGATTGAACCATCGTTTTGAAGGAGCAGTTTTGAAACACTGTTTTCGTGGAATCTGCAAGTGGATATTTGGCTAGCTTTGAGGATTTCGTTGGAAACGGGATTACATATAAAAAGGAGACAGCAGCATTCTCAGAAACTTCTTTGTGATGTCTGCATTCAAGTCACAGAGTTGAGCATTCCCTTTCATAGAGCAGGTTGGAAACACTCTTTTTGTAGTATCTGGATGAGGACATTTGGAGCGCTTTCAGGCGTATGGTGAAAAAGGAAATATCTTCCCGTAAAAACTAGACAGAAGCATTCTCAGAATTTTATTTGTGATGTGTGCCCTCAACTAACAGAGTTGAACCTTTCTTTTGATAGAGCAGTTTTGAAACACTCTTTTTGTAAAATCTGCAAGAGGATATTTGGATAGCTTTGAGGATTTCGTTGCAAACGGGAATGGCTTCATATAAACTCTAGACAGAAACATTCTCAGAAACTTCGTTGGGATGTTTCGATTGAAGTCCCAGTGTTGAACATTCCCTTTTATAGAGCAGGTTGGAAACACTCTTTCTGCATTCCCTGGAAGTGGACATTTGGAGCGCTTTCAGGACGACGGTGAAAATGGAAATATCTTCCAAGAAAATCTAGATAGACGCAACGTCAGAAACTTTTCTGTGATGGATCTACTCAGCTAACAGAGTTGAACCTTTCTTTTGAGAGAGCAGTTTTGCAACACTCTTTTTGTGGAATATGCAAGTGGATATTAGGGCAGCTTTGAGGATTTCGTTGGAAACGGGAATACATGTAAAAAGCAGACAGCAGCATTCTCAGAAACTTCTTTGTGATGTTTGCATTGAAGTCACAGAGTTGAACATTCCCTTTGAGAGAGCAGGTTTGAAACACGCCTTTTGTCATATCTGGAAGTGTCCATTCGGAGCGCATTCAGGCTTGTGTTGAAAAAGGAAATATCCTCCCATAAAAACTAGACAGAAGCATTCTCAGAAAGTTATCAGTGATGTATGTACTCAACTAACAGAACTAAACCATCGTTTTGAAGGAGCAGTTTTGAAACACTCTTTTTGCGGAATCTGCAAGTGGATATTTGGCTAGCTGGGAGGATTTCGTTGGAAACGGGATTACATACAAAAAGCAGACAGCAGCATTCTCAGAAACTTATTTGTGATGTGTGCCCTCAACTGACAGTGTTGAACCTTTGTTTTGATAGAGCAGTTCTGAAACACACTTTTTGTAAAATCTGCAAGAGGATATTTGGATAGCTTTGAGGATTTCGGTGGAAACGGGAATGTCTTCATGTAAACTCTAGACAGAAGCATTCTCAGAAACTGCTTTGGGATGTTTCAATTGAAGTCCCAGTGTTGAACATTCCCTTTCATAGAGCAGGTTTGAAACACTCTTTTTGTACTATCTGGAAGTGGACATTTGGAGCGCTTTCAGGTCTACGGTGAAAAAGGAGATATCTTCCAATAAAAACTAGATAGAAGCAATGTCAGAACTTTTTTCATGATGTATCTACTCAGCAAACAGAGTTGAACCTTTCTTTTGAGAGAGCAGTTTTGAAACACTCTTTTTGTGGAATATGCAAGTGGGTATTAGGCCAGCTTAGAGGATTTCGTTGGAAACGGGAATACGTATAAAAAGCAGACAGCAGCATTGTCAGAAACTACTTTGTGATGTTTGCATTCAAGTCACAGAATTGAACACTCCCTTTCACAGAGCAGGTTTGAAACACTCTTTTTGTAGTGTCTGTAAGTGAACATTTGGATTGCGTTCAGGCCTAAGGTGAAAAAGGAAATATCTTCCCATAAAAACTAGACAGAAGCATTCTCAGAAACTTGTTTGTGATGTGTGCCCTCTACTGACAGAGTTGAACCTTTCTTTGCAAAGAGCAGTTTTGAAACACTCTTTTTGTAGAATCTGCAAGAGGATATTTGGATAGCTTTGAGGATTTCTTGGGAAACGGGAATGTCTTCAGATAAACTCTAGACAGAAGCATTCTCAGAAACTTCTTTGGGATGTTTCAATTGAAGTCACAGTGTTGAACATTCCCTTTCACAGAGCAGGTTTGAAACACTCTTTTTGTAGTGTCTATAAGTGAACATTTGGCGTGCTTTCAGGCCTAACGTGAAAAAGGAAATATCTTCCCATAAAAACTAGACAGAAGCATTCTCAGAAACTTGTTCTTGATGTGTCCCCTCTACTGACAGAGTTGAACCTTTCTTTGCAAAGAGCAGCTTTGAAACACTCTTTTTGTAGAATCTGCAAGAGGATATTTGGATAGCTTGGAGGATTTCGTTGGAAACGGGTATGTCTTCAGATAAACTCTAGACAGAAGCATTCTCAGAAACATCTTTGGGATGTTGCATTCAAGTCACAGAGTAGAACATTCCCATTCATAGAGCAGATTTGAAACACTCTTTTTGTAGTATCTGGAAGTGGACATTTGGAGCGCTTTCAGGCCTATGTTGAAAAAGGAAATATCTTCCCATAAAAACTAGACGGAAGCATTCTCTGAAACTTATTTGTGATGTGTTTGCTCAACTAACAGGATTGAACCATCGTTTTGAAGGAGCAGTTTTGAAACACTGTTTTCGTGGAATCTGCAAGTGGATATTTGGCTAGCTTTGAGGATTTCGTTGGAAACGGGATTACATATAAAAAGGAGACAGCAGCATTCTCAGAAACTTCTTTGTGATGTCTGCATTCAAGTCACAGAGTTGAGCATTCCCTTTCATAGAGCAGGTTGGAAACACTCTTTTTGTAGTATCTGGATGAGGACATTTGGAGCGCTTTCAGGCGTATGGTGAAAAAGGAAATATCTTCCCGTAAAAACTAGACAGAAGCATTCTCAGAAATTTATTTGTGATGTGTGCCCTCAACTAACAGAGTTGAACCTTTCTTTTGATAGAGCAGTTTTGAAACACTCTTTTTGTAAAATCTGCAAGAGGATATTTGGATAGCTTTGAGGATTTCGTTGCAAACGGGAATGGCTTCATATAAACTCTAGACAGAAGCATTCTCAGAAACTTCGTTGGGATGTTTCGATTGAAGTCCCAGTGTTGAACATTCCCTTTTATAGAGCAGGTTGGAAACACTCTTTCTGCATTCCCTGGAAGTGGACATTTGGAGCGCTTTCAGGACGACGGTGAAAATGGAAATATCTTCCAAGAAAATCTAGATAGAAGCAACGTCAGAAACTTTTCTGTGATGGATCTACTCAGCTAACAGAGTTGAACCTTTCTTTTGAGAGAGCAGTTTTGCAACACTCTTTTTGTGGAATATGCAAGTGGATATTAGGGCAGCTTTGAGGATTTCGTTGGAAACGGGAATACATGTAAAAAGCAGACAGCAGCATTCTCAGAAACTTCTTTGTGATGTTTGCATTGAAGTCACAGAGTTGAACATTCCCTTTGAGAGAGCAGGTTTGAAACACGCCTTTTGTCATATCTGGAAGTGTCCATTCGGAGCGCATTCAGGCTTGTGTTGAAAAAGGAAATATCCTCCCATAAAAACTAGACAGAAGCATTCTCAGAAACTTATCTGTGATGTATGTACTCAACTAACAGAACTAAACCATCGTTTTGAAGGAGCAGTTTTGAAACACTCTTTTTGCGGAATCTGCAAGTGGATATTTGGCTAGCTGGGAGGATTTCGTTGGAAACGGGATTACATACAAAAAGCAGACAGCAGCATTCTCAGAAACTTCTTTGTGATGTTTGCATTCAAGTCACAGAGTTGAACATTCCCTTTCATAGAGCAGGTTTGAAACACTCTTTTTGTAGTATCTGGATGTGGACATTTGGATCGCTTTCAGGCCTATGGTGAAAAAGGAAATATCTTCCCATGAAAACTAGACAGAAGCATTCTCAGAAACTTATTTGTGATGTGTGCCCTCAACTGACAGTGTTGAACCTTTGTTTTGATAGAGCAGTTCTGAAACACACTTTTTGTAAAATCTGCAAGAGGATATTTGGATAGCTTTGAGGATTTCGTTGGAAACGGGAATGTCTTCATGTAAACTCTACACAGAAGCATTCTCAGAAACTGCTTTGGGATGTTTCAATTGAAGTCCCAGTGTTGAACATTCCCATTCATAGAGCAGGTTTGAAACACTCTTTTTGTACTATCTGGAAGTGGACATTTGGAGCGCTTTCAGGTCTACGGTGAAAAAGGAGATATCTTCCAATAAAAACTAGATAGAAGCAATGTCAGAACTTTTTTCATGATGTATCTACTCAGCAAACAGAGTTGAACCTTTCTTTTGAGAGAGCAGTTTTGAAACACTCTTTTTGTGGAATATGCAAGTGGGTATTAGGCCAGCTTGGAGGATTTCGTTGGAAACGGGAATACGTATAAAAAGCAGACAGCAGCATTGTCAGAAACTACTTTGTGATGTTTGCATTCAAGTCACAGAATTGAACACTCCCTTTCACAGAGCAGGTTTGAAACACACTTTTTGTAGTGTCTGTAAGTGAACATTTGGATTGCTTTCAGGCCTAAGGTGAAAAAGAAAATATCTTCCCATAAAAACTAGACAGAAGCATTCTCAGAAACTTGTTTGTGATGTGTGCCCTCTACTGACAGAGTTGAACCTTTCTTTGCAAAGAGCAGTTTTGAAACACTCTTTTTGTAGAATCTGCAAGAGGATATTTGGATAGCTTTGAGGATTTCTTGGGAAACGGGAATGTCTTCAGATAAACTCTAGACAGAAGCATTCTCAGAAACTTCTTTGGGATGTTTCAATTGAAGTCACAGTGTTGAACATTCCCTTTCACAGAGCAGGTTTGAAACACTCTTTTTGTAGTGTCTATAAGTGAACATTTGGCGTGCTTTCAGGCCTAACGTGAAAAAGGAAATATCTTCCCATAAAAACTAGACAGAAGCATTCTCAGAAACTTGTTCGTGATGTGTGCCCTCTACTGACAGAGTTGAACCTTTCTTTGCAAAGAGCAGCTTTGAAACACACTTTTTGTAGAATCAGCAAGAGGATATTTGGATAGCTTTGAGGATTTCGTTGGAAACGGGTATGTCTTCAGATAAACTCTAGACAGAAGCATTCTCAGAAACTTCTTTGGGATGTTGCATTCAAGTCACAGAGTAGAACATTCCCATTCATAGAGCAGATTTGAAACACTCTTTTTGTAGTATCTGGAAGTGGACATTTGGAGCGCTTTCAGGCCTATGTTGAAAAAGGAAATATCTTCCCATAAAAACTAGACGGAAGCATTCTCAGAAACTTATTTGTGATGTGTTTGCTCAAGTAACAGGATTGAACCATCGTTTTGAAGGAGCAGTTTTGAAACACTGTTTTCGTGGAATCTGCAAGTGGATATTTGGCTAGCTTTGAGGATTTCGTTGGAAACGGGATTACATATAAAAAGGAGACAGCAGCATTCTCAGAAACTTCTTTGTGATGTCTGCATTCAATTCACAGAGTTGAGCATTCCCTTTCATAGAGCAGGTTGGAAACACTCTTTTTGTAGTATCTGGATGAGGACATTTGGAGCGCTTTCAGGCGTATGGTGAAAAAGGAAATATCTTCCCGTAAAAACTAGACAGAAGCATTCTCAGAAGTTTATTTCTGATGTGTGCCCTCAACTAACAGAGTTGAACCTTTCTTTTCATAGAGCAGTTTTGAAACACTCTTTTTGTAAAATCTGCAAGAGGATATTTGGATAGCTTTGAGGATTTCGTTGCAAACGGGAATGGCTTCATATAAACTCTAGACAGAAAGCATTCTCAGAAACTTCGTCGGGATGTTTCGATTGAAGTCCCAGTGTTGAACATTCCCTTTTATAGAGCAGGTTGGAAACACTCTTTCTGCATTCCCTGGAAGTGGACAATTGGAGCGCTTTCAGGACGACGGTGAAAATGGAAATATCTTCCAATAAAATCTGGATAGAGCAATGTCAGAAACTATTCTGTGATGGATCTACTCAGCTAACAGAGTTGAACCTTTCTTTTGAGAGAGCAGTTTTGCAACACTCTTTTTGTGGAATATGCAAGTGGATATTAGGGCAGCTTTGAGGATTTCGTTGGAAACGGGAATACATGTAAAAAGCAGACAGCAGCATTCTCAGAAACTTCTTTGTGATGTTTGCATTGAAGTCACAGAGTTGAACATTCCCTTTGAGAGAGCAGGTTTGAAACACGCCTTTTGTCATATCTGGAAGTGTCCATTCGGAGCGCATTCAGGCTTGTGTTGAAAAAGAAAATATCCTCCCATAAAAACTAGACAGAAGCATTCTCAGAAACTTATCTGTGATGTATGTACTCAACTAACCGAACTAAACCATCGTTTTGAAGGAGCAGTTTTGAAACACTCTTTTTGCGGAATCTGCAAGTGGATATTTGGCTAGCTGGGAGGATTTCGTTGGAAACGGGATTACATACAAAAAGCAGACAGCAGCATTCTCAGAAACTTCTTTGTGATGTTTGCATTCAAGTCACAGAGTTGAACATTCCCTTTCATAGAGCAGGTTTGAAACACTCTTTTTGTAGTATCTGGATGTGGACATTTGGATCGCTTTCAGGCCTATGGTGAAAAAGGAAATATCTTCCCATGAAAACTAGACAGAAGCATTCTCAGAAACTTGTTTGTGATGTGTGCCCTCAACTGACAGTGTTGAACCTTTGTTTTGATAGAGCAGTTCTGAAACACACTTTTTGTAAAATCTGCAAGAGGATATTTGGATAGCTTTGAGGATTTCGTTGGAAACGGAAATGTCTTCATGTAAACTCTACACAGAAGCATTCTCAGAAACTGCTTTGGGATGTTTCAATTGAAGTCCCAGTGTTAAACATTCCCATTCATAGAGCAGGTTTGAAACACTCTTTTTGTACTATCTGGAAGTGGACATTTGGAGCGCTTTCAGGTCTACGGTGAAAAAGGAGATATCTTCCAATAAAAACTAGATAGAAGCAATGTCAGAACTTTTTTCATGATGTATCTACTCAGCAAACAGAGTTGAACCTTTCTTTTGAGAGAGCAGTTTTGAAACACTCTTTTTGTGGAATATGAAAGTGGGTATTAGGCCAGCTTGGAGGATTTCGTTGGAAACGGGAATACGTATAAAAAGCAGACAGCAGCATTGTCAGAAACTACTTTGTGATGTTTGCATTCAAGTCACAGAACTGAACACTCCCTTTCACAGAGCAGGTTTGAAACACTCTTTTTGTAGTGTCTGTAAGTGAACATTTGGATTGCTTTCAGGCCTAAGGTGAAAAAGGAAATATCTTCCCATAAAAACTAGACAGAAGCATTCTCAGAAACTTGTTTGTGATGTGTGCCCTCTACTGACAGAGTTGAACCTTTCTTTGCAAAGAGCAGTTTTGAAACACTCTTTTTGTAGAATCTGCAAGAGGATATTTGGATAGCTTTGAGGATTTCTTGGGAAACGGGAATGTCTTCAGATAAACTCTAGACAGAAGCATTCTCAGAAACTTCTTTGGGATGTTTCAATTGAAGTCACAGTGTTGAACATTCCCTTTCACAGAGCAGGTTTGAAACACTCTTTTTGTAGTGTCTATAATTGAACATTTGGCGTGCTTTCAGGCCTAACGTGAAAAAGGAAATATCTTCCCATAAAAACTAGACAGAAGCATTCTCAGAAACTTGTTCGTGATGTGTGCCCTCTACTGACAGAGTTGAACCTTTCTTTGCAAAGAGCAGCTTTGAAACACTCTTTTTGTAGAATCTGCAAGAGGATATGTGGATAGCTTTGAGGATTTCGTTGGAAACGGGTATGTCTTCAGATAAACTCTAGACAGAAGCATTCTCAGAAACTTCTTTGGGATGTTTCAATTGAAGTCACAGTGTTGAACATTCCCTTTCACAGAGCAGGTTTGAAACACTCTTTTTGTAGTGTCTATAAGTGAACATTTGGCGTGCTTTCAGGCCTAACGTGAAAAAGGAAATATCTTCCCATAAAAACTAGACAGAAGCATTCTCAGAAACTTGTTCATGATGTGTGCCCTCTACTGACAGAGTTGAACCTTTCTTTGCAAAGAGCAGCTTTGAAACACTCTTTTTGTAGAATCTGCAAGAGGATATTTGGATAGCTTTGAGGATTTCGTTGGAAACGGGTATGTCTTCAGATAAACTCTAGACAGAAGCATTCTCAGAAACTTCTTTGGGATGTTGCATTCAAGTCACAGAGTAGAACATTCCCATTCATAGAGCAGATTTGAAACACTCTTTTTGTAGTATCTGGAAGTGGACATTTGGAGCGCTTTCAGGCCTATGTTGAAAAAGGAAATATCTTCCCATAAAAACTAGACGGAAGCATTCTCAGAAACTTACTTGTGATGTGTTTGCTCAACTAACAGAATTGAACCATCGTTTTGAAGGAGCAGTTTTGAAACACTGTTTTCGTGGAATCTGCAAGTGGATATTTGGCTAGCTTTGAGGATTTCGTTGGAAACGGGATTACATATACAAAGGAGACAGCAGCATTCTCAGAAACTTCTTTGTGATGTCTGCATTCAAGTCACAGAGTTGAGCATTCCCTTTCATAGAGCAGGTTGGAAACACTCTTTTTGTAGTATCTGGATGAGGACATTTGGAGCGCTTTCAGGCGTATGGTGAAAAAGGAAATATCTTCCCGTAAAAACTAGACAGAAGCATTCTCAGAAATTTATTTGTGATGTGTGCCCTCAACTAACAGAGTTGAACCTTTCTTTTGATAGAGCAGTTTTGAAACACTCTTTTTGTAAAATCTGCAAGAGGATATTTGGATAGCTTTGAGGATTTCGTTGCAAACGGGAATGGCTTCATATAAACTCTAGACAGAAGCATTCTCAGAAACTTCGTTGGGATGTTTCGATTGAAGTCCCAGTGTTGAACATTCCCTTTTATAGAGCAGGTTGGAAACACTCTTTCTGCATTCCCTGGAAGTGGACATTTGGAGCGCTTTCAGGACGACGGTGAAAATGGAAATATCTTCCAAGAAAATCTAGATAGAAGCAACGTCAGAAACTTTTCTGTGATGGATCTACTCAGCTAACAGAGTTGAACCTTTCTTTTGAGAGAGCAGTTTTGCAACACTCTTTTTGTGGAATATGCAAGTGGATATTAGGGCAGCTTTGAGGATTTCGTTGGAAACGGGAATACATGTAAAAAGCAGACAGCAGCATTCTCAGAAACTTCTTTGTGATGTTTGCATTGAAGTCACAGAGTTGAACATTCCCTTTGAGAGAGCAGGTTTGAAACACGCCTTTTGTCATATCTGGAAGTGTCCATTCGGAGCGCATTCAGGCTTGTGTTGAAAAAGGAAATATCCTCCCATAAAAACTAGACAGAAGCATTCTCAGAAACTTATCTGTGATGTATGTACTCAACTAACAGAACTAAACCATCGTTTTGAAGGAGCAGTTTTGAAACACTCTTTTTGCGGAATCTGCAAGTGGATATTTGGCTAGCTGGGAGGATTTCGTTGGAAACGGGATTACATACAAAAAGCAGACAGCAGCATTCTCAGAAACTTCTTTGTGATGTTTGCATTCAAGTCACAGAGTTGAACATTCCCTTTCATAGAGCAGGTTTGAAACACTCTTTTTGTAGTATCTGGATGTGGACATTTGGATCGCTTTCAGGCCTATGGTGAAAAAGGAAATATCTTCCCATGAAAACTAGACAGAAGCATTCTCAGAAACTTATTTGTGATGTGTGCCCTCAACTGACAGTGTTGAACCTTTGTTTTGATAGAGCAGTTCTGAAACACACTTTTTGTAAAATCTGCAAGAGGATATTTGGATAGCTTTGAGGATTTCGTTGGAAACGGGAATGTCTTCATGTAAACTCTACACAGAAGCATTCTCAGAAACTGCTTTGGGATGTTTCAATTGAAGTCCCAGTGTTGAACATTCCCTTTCATAGAGCAGGTTTGAAACCCTCTTTTTGTACTATCTGGAAGTGGACATTTGGAGCGCTTTCAGGTCTACGGTGAAAAAGGAGATATCTTCCAATAAAAACTAGATAGAAGCAATGTCAGAACTTTTTTCATGATGTATCTACTCAGCAAACAGAGTTGAACCTTTCTTTTGAGAGAGCAGTTTTGAAACACTCTTTTTGTGGAATATGCAAGTGGGTATTAGGCCAGCTTGGAGGATTTCGTTGGAAACGGGAATACGTATAAAAAGCAGACAGCAGCATTGTCAGAAACTACTTTGTGATGTTTGCATTCAAGTCACAGAATTGAACACTCCCTTTCACAGAGCAGGTTTGAAACTCTCTTTTTGTAGTGTCTATAAGTGAACATTTGGCGTGCTTTCAGGCGTAACGTGAAAAAGGAAATATCTTCCCATAAAAACTAGACAGAAGCATTCTCAGAAACTTGTTCTTGATGTGTGCCCTCTACTGACAGAGTTGAACCTTTCTTTGCAAAGAGCAGTTTTGAAACACTCTTTTTGTAGAATCTGCAAGAGGATATTTGGATAGCTTTGAGGATTTCTTGGGAAACGGGAATGTCTTCAGATAAACTCTAGACAGAAGCATTCTCAGAAACTTCTTTGGGATGTTTCAATTGAAGTCACAGTGTTGAACATTCCCTTTCACAGAGCAGGTTTGAAACACTCTTTTTGTAGTGTCTATAAGTGAACATTTGGCGTGCTTTCAGGCGTAACGTGAAAAAGGAAATATCTTCCCATAAAAACTAGACAGAAGCATTCTCAGAAACTTGTTCTTGATGTGTCCCCTCTACTGACAGAGTTGAACCTTTCTTTGCAAAGAGCAGCTTTGAAACACTCTTTTTGTAGAATCTGCAAGAGGATATTTGGATAGCTTGGAGGATTTCGTTGGAAACGGGTATGTCTTCAGATAAACTCTAGACAGAAGCATTCTCAGAAACTTCTTTGGGATGTTGCATTCAAGTCACAGAGTAGAACATTCCCATTCATAGAGCAGATTTGAAACACTCTTTTTGTAGTATCTGGAAGTGGACATTGGGAGCGCTTTCAGGCCTATGTTGAAAAAGGAAATATCTTCCCATAAAAACTAGACGGAAGCATTCTCAGAAACTTATTTGTGATGTGTTTGCTCAACTAACAGGATTGAACCATCGTTTTGAAGGAGCAGTTTTGAAACACTGTTTTCGTGGAATCTGCAAGTGGATATTTGGCTAGCTTTGAGGATTTCGTTGGAAACGGGATTACATATAAAAAGGAGACAGCAGCATTCTCAGAAACTTCTTTGTGATGTCTGCATTCAAGTCACAGAGTTGAGCATTCCCTTTCATAGAGCAGGTTGGAAACACTCTTTTTGTAGTATCTGGATGAGGACATTTGGAGCGCTTTCAGGCCTATGGTGAAAAAGGAAATATCTTCCCGTAAAAACTAGACAGAAGCATTCTCAGAAATTTATTTGTGATGTGTGCCCTCAACTAACAGAGTTGAACCTTTCTTTTGATAGAGCAGTTTTGAAACACTCTTTTTGTAAAATCTGCAAGAGGATATTTGGATAGCTTTGAGGATTTCGTTGCAAACGGGAATGGCTTCATATAAACTCTAGACAGAAGCATTCTCAGAAACTTCGTTGGGATGTTTCGATTGAAGTCCCAGTGTTGAACATTCCCTTTTATAGAGCAGGTTGGAAACACTCTTTCTGCATTCCCTGGAAGTGGACATTTGGAGCGCTTTCAGGACGACGGTGAAAATGGAAATATCTTCCAAGAAAATCTAGATAGAAGCAATGTCAGAAACTTTTATGTGATGGATCTACTCAGCTAACAGAGTTGAACCTTTCTTTTGAGAGAGCAGTTTTGCAACACTCTTTTTGTGGAATATGCAAGTGGATATTAGGGCAGCTTTGAGGATTTCGTTGGAAACGGGAATACATGTAAAAAGCAGACAGCAGCATTCTCAGAAACTTCTTTGTGATGTTTGCATTGAAGTCACAGAGTTGAACATTCCCTTTGAGAGAGCAGGTTTGAAACACGCCTTTTGTCATATCTGGAAGTGTCCATTCGGAGCGCATTCAGGCTTGTGTTGAAAAAGGAAATATCCTCCCATAAAAACTAGACAGAAGCATTCTCAGAAACTTATTTGTGATGTATGTACTCAAGTAACAGAACTAAACCATCGTTTTGAAGGAGCAGTTTTGAAACACTCTTTTTGCGGAATCTGCAAGTGGATATTTGGCTAGCTGGGAGGATTTCGTTGGAAACGGGATTACATACAAAAAGCAGACAGCAGCATTCTCAGAAACTTCTTTGTGATGTTTGCATTCAAGTCACAGAGTTGAACATTCCCTTTCATAGAGCAGGTTTGAAACACTCTTTTTGTAGTATCTGGATGTGGACATTTGGATCGCTTTCAGGCCTATGGTGAAAAAGGAAATATCTTCCCATGAAAACTAGACAGAAGCATTCTCAGAAACTTATTTGTGATGTGTGCCCTCAACTGACAGTGTTGAACCTTTGTTTTGATAGAGCAGTTCTGAAACACACTTTTTGTAAAATCTGCAAGAGGATATTTGGATAGCTTTGAGGATTTCGTTGGAAACGGGAATGTCTTCATGTAAACTCTAGACAGAAGCATTCTCAGAAACTGCTTTGGGATGTTTCAATTGAAGTCCCAGTGTTGAACATTCCCTTTCATAGAGCAGGTTTGAAACACTCTTTTTGTAGTATCTGGATGAGGACATTTGGAGCGCTTTCAGGCGTATGGTGAAAAAGGAAATATCTTCCCGTAAAAACAAGACAGAAGCATTCTCAGAAGTTTATTTCTGATGTGTGCCCTCAACTAACAGAGTTGAACCTTTCTTTTGATAGAGCAGTTTTGAAACACTCTTTTTGTAAAATCTGCAAGAGGATATTTGGATAGCTTTGAGGATTTCGTTGCAAACGGGAATGGCTTCATATAAACTCTAGACAGAAAGCATTCTCAGAAACTTCGTCGGGATGTTTCGATTGAAGTCCCAGTGTTGAACATTCCCTTTTATAGAGCAGGTTGGAAACACTCTTTCTGCATTCCCTGGAAGTGGACAATTGGAGCGCTTTCAGGACGACGGTGAAAATGGAAATATCTTCCAATAAAATCTGGATAGAGCAATGTCAGAAACTTTTATGTGATGGATCTACTCAGCTAACAGAGTTGAACCTTTCTTTTGAGAGAGCAGTTTTGCAACACTCTTTTTGTGGAATATGCAAGTGGATATTAGGGCAGCTTTGAGGATTTCGTTGGAAACGGGAATACATGTAAAAAGCAGACAGCAGCATTCTCAGAAACTTCTTTGTGATGTTTGCATTGAAGTCACAGAGTTGAACATTCCCTTTGAGAGAGCAGGTTTGAAACACGCCTTTTGTCATATCTGGAAGTGTCCATTCGGAGCGCATTCAGGCTTGTGTTGAAAAAGGAAATATCCTCCCATAAAAACTAGACAGAAGCATTCTCAGAAACTTATCTGTGATGTATGTACTCAACTAACAGAACTAAACCATCGTTTTGAAGGAGCAGTTTTGAAACACTCTTTTTGCGGAATCTGCAAGTGGATATTTGGCTAGCTGGGAGGATTTCGTTGGAAACGGGATTACATACAAAAAGCAGACAGCAGCATTCTCAGAAACTTCTTTGTGATGTTTGCATTCAAGTCACAGAGTTGAACATTCCCTTTCATAGAGCAGGTTTGAAACACTCTTTTTGTAGTATCTGGATGTGGACATTTGGATCGCTTTCAGGCCTATGGTGAAAAAGGAAATATCTTCCCATGAAAACTAGACAGAAGCATTCTCAGAAACTTATTTGTGATGTGTGCCCTCAACTGACAGTGTTGAACCTTTGTTTTGATAGAGCAGTTCTGAAACACACTTTTTGTAAAATCTGCAAGAGGATATTTGGATAGCTTTGAGGATTTCGTTGGAAACGGGAATGTCTTCATGTAAACTCTAGACAGAAGCATTCTCAGAAACTGCTTTGGGATGTTTCAATTGAAGTCCCAGTGTTGAACATTCCCTTTCATAGAGCAGGTTTGAAACACTCTTTTTGTACTATCTGGAAGTGGACATTCGGAGCGCTTTCAGGTCTACGGTGAAAAAGGAGATATCTTCCAATAACAACTAGATAGAAGCAATGTCAGAACTTTTTTCATGATGTATCTACTCAGCAAACAGAGTTGAACCCTTTCTTTTGAGAGAGCAGTTTTGAAACACTCTTTTTGTGGAATATGCAAGTGGGTATTAGGCCAGCTTGGAGGATTTCGTTGGAAACGGGAATACGTATAAAAAGCAGACAGCAGCATTGTCAGAAACTACTTTGTGATGTTTGCATTCAAGTCACAGAATTGAACACTCCCTTTCACAGAGCAGGTTTGAAACACTCTTTTTGTAGTGTCTGTAAGTGAACATTTGGATTGCTTTCAGGCCTAAGGTGAAAAAGGAAATATCTTCCCATAAAAACTAGACAGAAGCATTCTCAGAAACTTGTTTGTGATGTGTGCCCTCTACTGACAGAGTTGAACCTTTCTTTGCAAAGGGCAGTTTTGAAACACTCTTTTTGTAGAATCTGCAAGAGGATATTTGGATAGCTTTGAGGATTTCTTGGGAAACGGGAATGTCTTCAGATAAACTCTAGACAGAAGCATTCTCAGAAACTTCTTTGGGATGTTTCAATTGAAGTCACAGTGTTGAACATTCCCTTTCACAGAGCAGGTTTGAAACACTCTTTTTGTAGTGTCTATAAGTGAACATTTGGCGTGCTTTCAGGCGTAACGTGAAAAAGGAAATATCTTCCCATAAAAACTAGACAGAAGCATTCTCAGAAACTTGTTCTTGATGTGTCCCCTCTACTGAGAGAGTTGAACCTTTCTTTGCAAAGAGCAGCTTTGAAACACTCTTTTTGTAGAATCTGCAAGAGGATATTTGGATAGCTTGGAGGATTTCGTTGGAAACGGGTATGTCTTCAGATAAACTCTAGACAGAAACATTCTCAGAAACTTCTTTGGGATGTTGCATTCAAGTCACAGAGTAGAACATTCCCATGCATAGAGCAGATTTGAAACACTCTTTTTGTAGTATCTGGAAGTGGACATTTGGAGCGCTTTCAGGCCTATGTTGAAAAAGGAAATATCTTCCCATAAAAACTAGACGGGAAGCATTCTCAGAAACTTATTTGTGATGTGTTTGCTCAACTAACAGGATTGAACCATCGTTTTGAAGGAGCAGTTTTGAAACACTGTTTTCGTGGAATCTGCAAGTGGATATTTGGCTAGCTTTGAGGATTTCGTTGGAAACGGGATTACATATACAAAGGAGACAGCAGCATTCTCAGAAACTTCTTTGTGATGTCTGCATTCAATTCACGGAGTTGAGCATTCCCTTTCATAGAGCAGGTTGGAAACACTCTTTTTGTAGTATCTGGATGAGGACATTTGGAGCGCTTTCAGGCGTATGGTGAAAAAGGAAATATCTTCCCGTAAAAACTAGACAGAAGCATTCTCAGAAGTTTATTTGTGATGTGTGCCCTCAACTAACAGAAGTTGAACCTTTCTTTTGATAGAGCAGTTTTGAAACACTCTTTTTGTAAAATCTGCAAGAGGATATTTGGATAGCTTTGAGGATTTCGTTGCAAACGGGAATGGCTTCATATAAACTCTAGACAGAAGCATTCTCAGAAACTTCGTTGGGATGTTTCGATTGAAGTCCCAGTGTTGAACATTCCCTTTTATAGAGCAGGTTGGAAAAACTCTTTCTGCATTCCCTGGAAGTGGACATTTGGAGCGCTTTCAGGACGACGGTGAAAATGGAAATATCTTCCAAGAAAATCTAGATAGAAGCAACGTCAGAATCTTTTCTGTGATGGATCTACTCAGCTAACAGAGTTGAACCTTTCTTTTGAGAGAGCAGTTTTGCAACACTCTTTTTGTGGAATATGCAAGTGGATATTAGGGCAGCTTTGAGGATTTCGTTGGAAACGGGAATACATGTAAAAAGCAGACAGCAGCATTCTCAGAAACTTCTTTGTGATGTTTGCATTGAAGTCACAGAGTTGAACATTCCCTTTGAGAGAGCAGGTTTGAAACACGCCTTTTGTCATATCTGGAAGTGTCCATTCGGAGCGCATTCAGGCTTGTGTTGAAAAAGGAAATATCCTCCCATAAAAACTAGACAGAAGCATTCTCAGAAACTTATCTGTGATGTATGTACTCAACTAACAGAACTAAACCATCGTTTTGAAGGAGCAGTTTTGAAACACTCTTTTTGCGGAATCTGCAAGTGGATATTTGGCTAGCTGGGAGGATTTCGTTGGAAACGGGATTACATACAAAAAGCAGACAGCAGCATTCTCAGAAACTTCTTTGTGATGTTTGCATTCAAGTCACAGAGTTGAACATTCCCTTTCATAGAGCAGGTTTGAAACACTCTTTTTGTAGTATCTGGATGTGGACATTTGGATCGCTTTCAGGCCTATGGTGAAAAAGGAAATATCTTCCCATGAAAACTAGACAGAAGCATTCTCAGAAACTTATTTGTGATGTGTGCCCTCAACTGACAGTGTTGAACCTTTGTTTTGATAGAGCAGTTCTGAAACACACTTTTTGTAAAATCTGCAAGAGGATATTTGGATAGCTTGAGGATTTCGTTGGAAACGGGAATGTCTTCATGTAAACTCTACACAGAAGCATTCTCAGAAACTGCTTTGGGATGTTTCAATTGAAGTCCCAGTGTTGAACATTCCCTTTCATAGAGCAGGTTTGAAACACTCTTTTTGTACTATCTGGAAGTGGACATTTGGAGCGCTTTCAGGTCTACGGTGAAAAAGGAGATATCTTCCAATAACAACTAGATAGAAGCAATGTCAGAACTTTTTTCATGATGTATCTACTCAGCAAACAGAGTTGAACCTTTCTTTTGAGAGAGCAGTTTTGAAACACTCTTTTTGTGGAATATGCAAGTGGGTATTAGGCCAGCTTGGAGGATTTCGTTGGAAACGGGAATACGTATAAAAAGCAGACAGCAGCATTGTCAGAAACTACTTTGTGATGTTTGCATTCAAGTCACAGAATTGAACACTCCCTTTCACAGAGCAGGTTTGAAACACTCTTTTTGTAGTGTCTGTAAGTGAACATTTGGATTGCTTTCAGGCCTAAGGTGAAAAAGGAAATATCTTCCCACAAAAACTAGACAGAAGCATTCTCAGAAACTTGTTTGTGATGTGTGCCCTCTACTGACAGAGTTGAAACTTTCTTTGCAAAGAGCAGTTTTGAAACACTCTTTTTGTAGAATCTGCAAGAGGATATTTGGATAGCTTTGAGGATTTCTTGGGAAACGGGAATGTCTTCAGATAAACTCTAGACAGAAGCATTCTCAGTAAACTTCTTTGGGATGTTTCAATTGAAGTCACAGTGTTGAACATTCCCTTTCACAGAGCAGGTTTGAAACACTCTTTTTGTAGTGTCTATAAGTGAACATTTGGCGTGCTTTCAGGCGTAACGTGAAAAAGGAAATATCTTCCCATAAAAACTAGACAGAAGCATTCTCAGAAACTTGTTCTTGATGTGTCCCCTCTACTGACAGAGTTGAACCTTTCTTTGCAAAGAGCAGCTTTGAAACACTCTTTTTGTAGAATCTGCAAGAGGATATTTGGATAGCTTGGAGGATTTCGTTGGAAACGGGTATGTCTTCAGATAAACTCTAGACAGAAGCATTCTCAGAAACTTCTTTGGGATGTTGCATTCAAGTCACAGAGTAGAACATTCCCATTCATAGAGCAGATTTGAAACACTCTTTTTGTAGTATCTGGAAGTGGACATTTGGAGCGCTTTCAGGCCTATGTTGAAAAAGGAAATATCTTCCCATAAAAACTAGACGGAAGCATTCTCAGAAACTTATTTGTGATGTGTTTGCTCAACTAACAGGATTGAACCATCGTTTTGAAGGAGCAGTTTTGAAACACTGTTTTCGTGGAATCTGCAAGTGGATATTTGGCTAGCTTTGAGGATTTCGTTGGAAATGGGATTACATACACAAAGGAGACAGCAGCATTCTCAGAAACTTCTTTGTGATGTTTGCATTCAATTCACAGAGTTGAGCATTCCCTTTCATAGAGCAGGTTGGAAACACTCTTTTTGTAGTATCTGGATGTGGACATTTGGATCGCTTTCAGGCCTATGGTGAAAAAGGAAATATCTTCCCATGAAAACTAGACAGAAGCATTCTCAGAAACTTATTTGTGATGTGTGCCCTCAACTGACAGTGTTGAACCTTTGTTTTGATAGAGCAGTTCTGAAACACACTTTTTGTAAAATCTGCAAGAGGATATTTGGATAGCTTTGAGGATTTCGTTGGAAACGGGAATGTCTTCATGTAAACTCTAGACAGAAGCATTCTCAGAAACTGCTTTGGGATGTTTCAATTGAAGTCCCAGTGTTGAACATTCCCTTTCATAGAGCAGGTTTGAAACACTCTTTTTGTACTATCTGGAAGTGGACATTTGGAGCGCTTTCAGGTCTACGGTGAAAAAGGAGATATCTTCCAATAAAAACTAGATAGAAGCAATGTCAGAACTTTTTTCATGATGTATCTACTCAGCAAACAGAGTTGAACCTTTCTTTTGAGAGAGCAGTTTTGAAACACTCTTTTTGTGGAATATGCAAGTGGGTATTAGGCCAGCTTGGAGGATTTCGTTGGAAACGGGAATACGTATAAAAAGCAGACAGCAGCATTGTCAGAAACTACTTTGTGATGTTTGCATTCAAGTCACAGAATTGAACACTCCCTTTCACAGAGCAGGTTTGAAACACTCTTTTTGTAGTGTCTGTAAGTGAACATTTGGATTGCTTTCAGGCCTAAGGTGAAAAAGGAAATATCTTCCCATAAAAACTAGACAGAAGCATTCTCAGAAACTTGTTTGTGATGTGTGCCCTCTACTGACAGAGTTGAACCTTTCTTTGCAAAGAGCAGTTTTGAAACACTCTTTTTGTAGAATCTGCAAGAGGATATTTGGATAGCTTTGAGGATTTCTTGGGAAACGGGAATGTCTTCAGATAAACTCTAGACAGAAGCATTCTCAGAAACTTCTTTGGGATGTTTCAATTGAAGTCACAGTGTTGAACATTCCCTTTCACAGAGCAGGTTTGAAACACTCTTTTTGTAGTGTCTATAAGTGAACATTTGGCGTGCTTTCAGGCCTAACGTGAAAAAGGAAATATCTTCCCATAAAAACTAGACAAAAGCATTCTCAGAAACTTGTTCGTGATGTGTGCCCTCTACTGACAGAGTTGAACCTTTCTTTGCAAAGAGCAGCTTTGAAACACTCTTTTTGTAGAATCTGCCAGAGGATATTTGGATAGCTTTGAGGATTTCGTTGGAAACGGGTATGTCTTCAGATAAACTCTAGACAGAAGCATTCTCAGAAACTTCTTTGGGATGTTGCATTCAAGTCACAGAGTAGAACATTCCCATTCATAGAGCAGATTTGAAACACTCTTTTTGTAGTATCTGGAAGTGGACATTTGGAGCGCTTTCAGGCCTATGTTGAAAAAGGAAATATCTTCCCATAAAAACAAGACGGAAGCATTCTCAGAAACTTACTTGTGATGTGTTTGCTCAACTAACAGAATTGAACCATCGTTTTGAAGGAGCAGTTTTGAAACACTGTTTTCGTGGAATCTGCAAGTGGATATTTGGCTAGCTTTGAGGATTTCGTTGGAAACGGGATTACATATAAAAAGGAGACAGCAGCATTCTCAGAAACTTCTTTGTGATGTCTGCATTCAAGTCACAGAGTTGAGCATTCCCTTTCATAGAGCAGGTTGGAAACACTCTTTGTGTAGTATCTGGATGAGGACATTTGGAGCGCTTTCAGGCGTATGGTGAAAAAGGAAATATCTTCCCGTAAAAACTAGACAGAAGCATTCTCAGAAATTTATTTGTGATGTGTGCCCTCAACTAACAGAGTTGAACCTTTCTTTTGATAGAGCAGTTTTGAAACACTCTTTTTGTAAAATCTGCAAGAGGATATTTGGATAGCTTTGAGGATTTCGTTGCAAACGGGAATGGCTTCATATAAACTCTAGACAGAAGCATTCTCAGAAACTTCGTTGGGATGTTTCGATTGAAGTCCCAGTGTTGAACATTCCCTTTTATAGAGCAGGTTGGAAACACTCTTTCTGCATTCCCTGGAAGTGGACATTTGGAGCGCTTTCAGGACGACGGTGAAAATGGAAATATCTTCCAAGAAAATCTAGATAGAAGCAACGTCAGAAACTTTTCTGTGATGGATCTACTCAGCTAACAGAGTTGAACCTTTCTTTTGAGAGAGCAGTTTTGCAACACTCTTTTTGTGGAATATGCAAGTGGATATTAGGGCAGCTTTGAGGATTTCGTTGGAAACGGGAATACATGTAAAAAGCAGACAGCAGCATTCTCAGAAACTTCTTTGTGATGTTTGCATTGAAGTCACAGAGTTGAACATTCCCTTTGAGAGAGCAGGTTTGAAACACGCCTTTTGTCATATCTGGAAGTGTCCATTCGGAGCGCATTCAGGCTTGTGTTGAAAAAGGAAATATCCTCCCATAAAAACTAGACAGAAGCATTCTCAGAAACTTATCTGTGATGTATGTACTCAACTAACAGAACTAAACCATCGTTTTGAAGGAGCAGTTTTGAAACACTCTTTTTGCGGAATCTGCAAGTGGATATTTGGCTAGCTGGGAGGATTTCGTTGGAAACGGGATTACATACAAAAAGCAGACAGCAGCATTCTCAGAAACTTCTTTGTGATGTTTGCATTCAAGTCACAGAGTTGAACATTCCCTTTCATAGAGCAGGTTTGAAACACTCTTTTTGTAGTATCTGGATGTGGACATTTGGATCGCTTTCAGGCCTATGGTGAAAAAGGAAATATCTTCCCATGAAAACTAGACAGAAGCATTCTCAGAAACTTATTTGTGATGTGTGCCCTCAACTGACAGTGTTGAACCTTTGTTTTGATAGAGCAGTTCTGAAACACACTTTTTGTAAAATCTGCAAGAGGATATTTGGATAGCTTTGAGGATTTCGTTGGAAACGGGAATGTCTTCATGTAAACTCTAGACAGAAGCATTCTCAGAAACTGCTTTGGGATGTTTCAATTGAAGTCCCAGTGTTGAACATTCCCTTTCATAGAGCAGGTTTGAAACACTCTTTTTGTACTATCTGGAAGTGGACATTTGGAGCGCTTTCAGGTCTACGGTGAAAAAGGAGATATCTTCCAATAAAAACTAGATAGAAGCAATGTCAGAACTTTTTTCATGATGTATCTACTCAGCAAACAGAGTTGAACCTTTCTTTTGAGAGAGCAGTTTTGAAACACTCCTTTTGTGGAATATGCAAGTGGGTATTAGGCCAGCTTGGAGGATTTCGTTGGAAACGGGAATACGTATAAAAAGCAGACAGCAGCATTGTCAGAAACTACTTTGTGATGTTTGCATTCAAGTCACAGAATTGAACACTCCCTTTCACAGAGCAGGTTTGAAACACTCTTTTTGTAGTGTCTGTAAGTGAACATTTGGATTGATTTCAGGCCTGAGGTGAAAAAGGAAATATCTTCCCATAAAAACTAGACAGAAGCATTCTCAGAAACTTGTTTGTGATGTGTGCCCTCTACTGACAGAGTTGAAGCTTTCTTTGCAAAGAGCAGTTTTGAAACCCTCCTTTTGTAGAATCTACAAGAGGATATTTGGATAGCTTTGAGGATTTCTTGGGAAACGGGAATGTCTTCAGATAAACTCTAGACAGAAGCATTCTCAGAAACTTCTTTGGGATGTTTCAATTGAAGTCACAGTGTTGAACATTCCCTTTCACAGAGCAGGTTTGAAACACTCTTTTTGTAGTGTCTATAAGTGAACATTTGGCGTGCTTTCAGGCCTAACGTGAAAAAGGAAATATCTTCCCATAAAAACTAGACAGAAGCATTCTCAGAAACTTGTTCGTGATGTGTGCCCTCTACTGACAGAGTTGAACCTTTCTTTGCAAAGAGCAGCTTTGAAACACTCTGTTTGTAGAATCTGCAAGAGGATATTTGGATAGCTTTGAGGATTTCGTTGGAAACGGGTATGTCTTCAGATAAACTCTAGACAGAAGCATTCTCAGAAACTTCTTTGGGATGTTGCATTCAAGTCACAGAGTAGAACATTCCCATTCATAGAGCAGATTTGAAACACTCTTTTTGTAGTATCTGGAAGTGGACATTTGGAGCGCTTTCAGGCCTATGTTGAAAAAGGAAATATCTTCCCATAAAAACTAGACGGAAGCATTCTCAGAAACTTACTTGTGATGTGTTTGCTCAACTAACAGAATTGAACCATCGTTTTGAAGGAGCAGTTTTGAAACACTGTTTTCGTGGAATCTGCAAGTGGATATTTGGCTAGCTTTGAGGATTTCGTTGGAAACGGGATTACATATAAAAAGGAGACAGCAGCATTCTCAGAAACTTCTTTGTGATGTCTGCATTCAAGTCACAGAGTTGAGCATTCCCTTTCATAGAGCAGGTTGGAAACACTCTTTTTGTAGTATCTGGATGAGGACATTTGGAGCGCTTTCAGGCGTATGGTGAAAAAGGAAATATCTTCCCGTAAAAACTAGACAGAAGCATTCTCAGAAATTTATTTGTGATGTGTGCCCTCAACTAACAGAGTTGAAGCTTTCTTTTGATAGAGCAGTTTTGAAAGACTCTTTTTGTAAAATCTGCAAGAGGATATTTGGATAGCTTTGAGGATTTCATTGCAAACGGGAATGGCTTCATATAAACTCTAGACAGAAGCATTCTCAGAAACTTCGTTGGGATGTTTCGATTGAAGTCCCAGTGTTGAACATTCCCTTTTATAGAGCAGGTTGGAAACACTCTTTCTGCATTCCCTGGAAGTGGACATTTGGAGCGCTTTCAGGACGACGGTGAAAATGGAAATATCTTCCAAGAAAATCTAGATAGAAGCAACGTCAGAAACTTTTATGTGATGGATCTACTCAGCTAACAGAGTTGAACCTTTCTTTTGAGAGAGCAGTTTTGCAACACTCTTTTTGTGGAATATGCAAGTGGATATTAGGGCAGCTTTGAGGATTTCGTTGGAAACGGGAATACATGTAAAAAGCAGACAGCAGCGTTCTCAGAAACTTCTTTGTGATGTTTGCATTGAAGTCACAGAGTTGAACATTCCCTTTGAGAGAGCAGGTTTGAAACACGCCTTTTGTCATATCTGGAAGTGTCCATTCGGAGCGCATTCAGGCTTGTGTTGAAAAAGGAAATATCCTCCCATAAAAACTAGACAGAAGCATTCTCAGAAACTTATCTGTGATGTATGTACTCAACTAACAGAACTAAACCATCGTTTTGAAGGAGCAGTTTTGAAACACTCTTTTTGCGGAATCTGCAAGTGGATATTTGGCTAGCTGGGAGGATTTCGTTGGAAACGGGATTACATACAAAAAGCAGACAGCAGCATTCTCAGAAACTTCTTTGTGATGTTTGCATTCAAGTCACAGAGTTGAACATTCCCTTTCATAGAGCAGGTTTGAAACACTCTTTTTGTAGTATCTGGATGTGGACATTTGGATCGCTTTCAGGCCTATGGTGAAAAAGGAAATATCTTCCCATGAAAACTAGACAGAAGCATTCTCAGAAACTTATTTGTGATGTGTGCCCTCAACTGACAGTGTTGAACCTTTGTTTTGATAGAGCAGTTCTGAAACACACTTTTTGTAAAATCTGCAAGAGGATATTTGGATAGCTTTGAGGATTTCGTTGGAAACGGGAATGTCTTCATGTAAACTCTACACAGAAGCATTCTCAGAAACTGCTTTGGGATGTTTCAATTGAAGTCCCAGTGTTGAACATTCCCATTCATAGAGCAGGTTTGAAACACTCTTTTTGTACTATCTGGAAGTGGACATTTGGAGCGCTTTCAGGTCTACGGTGAAAAAGGAGATATCTTCCAATAAAAACTAGATAGAAGCAATGTCAGAACTTTTTTCATGATGTATCTACTCAGCAAACAGAGTTGAACCTTTCTTTTGAGAGAGCAGTTTTGAAACACTCTTTTTGTGGAATATGCAAGTGGGTATTAGGCCAGCTTGGAGGATTTCGTTGGAAACGGGAATACGTATAAAAAGCAGACAGCAGCATTGTCAGAAACTACTTTGTGATGTTTGCATTCAAGTCACAGAATTGAACACTCCCTTTCACAGAGCAGGTTTGAAACACTCTTTTTGTAGTGTCTGTAAGTGAACATTTGGATTGCTTTCAGGCCTAAGGTGAAAAAGGAAATATCTTCCCATAAAAACTAGACAGAAGCATTCTCAGAAACTTGTTTGTGATGTGTGCCCTCTACTGACAGAGTTGAACCTTTCTTTGCAAAGAGCAGTTTTGAAACACTCTTTTTGTAGAATCTGCAAGAGGATATTTGGATAGCTTTGAGGATTTCTTGGGAAACGGGAATGTCTTCAGATAAACTCTAGACAGAAGCATTCTCAGAAACTTCTTTGGGATGTTTCAATTGAAGTCACAGTGTTGAACATTCCCTTTCACAGAGCAGGTTTGAAACACTCTTTTTGTAGTGTCTATAAGTGAACATTTGGCGTGCTTTCAGGCGTAACGTGAAAAAGGAAATATCTTCCCATAAAAACTAGACAGAAGCATTCTCAGAAACTTGTTCTTGATGTGTCCCCTCTACTGACAGAGTTGAACCTTTCTTTGCAAAGAGCAGCTTTGAAACACTCTTTTTGTAGAATCTGCAAGAGGATATTTGGATAGCTTGGAGGATTTCGTTGGAAACGGGTATGTCTTCAGATAAACTCTAGACAGAAGCATTCTCAGAAACTTCTTTGGGATGTTGCATTCAAGTCACAGAGTAGAACATTCCCATTCATAGAGCAGATTTGAAACACTCTTTTTGTAGTATCTGGAAGTGGACATTTGGAGCGCTTTCAGGCCTATGTTGAAAAAGGAAATATCTTCCCATAAAAACTAGACGGAAGCATTCTCAGAAACTTATTTGTGATGTGTTTGCTCAACTAACAGGATTGAACCATCGTTTTGAAGGAGCAGTTTTGAAACACTGTTTTCGTGGAATCTGCAAGTGGATATTTGGCTAGCTTTGAGGATTTCGTTGGAAACGGGATTACATATAAAAAGGAGACAGCAGCATTCTCAGAAACTTCTTTGTGATGTCTGCATTCAATTCACAGAGTTGAGCATTCCCTTTCATAGAGCAGGTTGGAAACACTCTTTTTGTAGTATCTGGATGAGGACATTTGGAGCGCTTTCAGGCGTATGGTGAAAAGGGAAATATCTTCCCGTAAAAACTAGACAGAAGCATTCTCAGAAGTTTATTTGTGATGTGTGCCCTCAACTAACAGAGTTGAACCTTTCTTTTGATAGAGCAGTTTTGAAACACTCTTTTTGTAAAATCTGCAAGAGGATATTTGGATAGCTTTGAGGATTTCGTTGCAAACGGGAATGGCTTCATATAAACTCTAGACAGAAGCATTCTCAGAAACTTCGTTGGGATGTTTCGATTGAAGTCCCAGTGTTGAACATTCCCTTTTATAGAGCAGGTTGGAAACACTCTTTCTGCATTCCCTGGAAGTGGACATTTGGAGCGCTTTCAGGACGACGGTGAAAATGGAAATATCTTCCAAGAAAATCTAGATAGAAGCAATGTCAGAAACTTTTATGTGATGGATCTACTCAGCTAACAGAGTTGAACCTTTCTTTTGAGAGAGCAGTTTTGCAACACTCTTTTTGTGGAATATGCAAGTGGATATTAGGGCAGCTTTGAGGATTTCGTTGGAAACGGGAATACATGTAAAAAGCAGACAGCAGCATTCTCAGAAACTTCTTTGTGATGTTTGCATTGAAGTCACAGAGTTGAACATTCCCTTTGAGAGAGCAGGTTTGAAACACGCCTTTTGTCATATCTGGAAGTGTCCATTCGGAGCGCATTCAGGCTTGTGTTGAAAAAGGAAATATCCTCCCATAAAAACTAGACAGAAGCATTCTCAGAAACTTATCTGTGATGTATGTACTCAACTAACAGAACTAAACCATCGTTTTGAAGGAGCACTTTTGAAACACTCTTTTTGCGGAATCTGCAAGTGGATATTTGGCTAGCTGGGAGGATTTCGTTGGAAACGGGATTACATACAAAAAGCAGACAGCAGCATTCTCAGAAACTTCTTTGTGATGTTTGCTTTCAAGTCACAGAGTTGAGCATTCCCTTTCATAGAGCAGGTTGGAAACACTCTTTTTGTAGTATCTGGATGTGGACATTTGGATCGCTTTCAGGCCTATGGTGAAAAAGGAAATATCTTCCCATGAAAACTAGACAGAAGCATTCTCAGAAACTTATTTGTGATGTGTGCCCTCAACTGACAGTGTTGAACCTTTGTTTTGATAGAGCAGTTCTGAAACACACTTTTTGTAAAATCTGCAAGAGGATATTTGGATAGCTTTGAGGATTTCGTTGGAAACGGGAATGTCTTCATGTAAACTCTAGACAGAAGCATTCTCAGAAACTGCTTTGGGATGTTTCAATTGAAGTCCCAGTGTTGAACATTCCCTTTCATAGAGCAGGTTTGAAACACTCTTTTTGTACTATCTGGAAGTGGACATTCGGAGCGCTTTCAGGTCTACGGTGAAAAAGGAGATATCTTCCAATAACAACTAGATAGAAGCAATGTCAGAACTTTTTTCATGATGTATCTACTCAGCAAACAGAGTTGAACCTTTCTTTTGAGGGAGCAGTTTTGAAACACTATTTTTGTGGAATATGCAAGTGGGTATTAGGCCAGCTTGGAGGATTTCGTTGGAAACGGGAATACGTATAAAAAGCAGACAGCAGCATTGTCAGAAACTACTTTGTGATGTTTGCATTCAAGTCACAGAATTGAACACTCCCTTTCACAGAGCAGGTTTGAAACTCTCTTTTTGTAGTGTCTATAAGTGAACATTTGGCGTGCTTTCAGGCGTAACGTGAAAAAGGAAATATCTTCCCATAAAAACTAGACAGAAGCATTCTCAGAAACTTGTTTGTGATGTGTGCCCTCTACTGACAGAGTTGAACCTTTCTTTGCAAAGAGCAGTTTTGAAACACTCTTTTTGTAGAATCTGCAAGAGGATATTTGGATAGCTTTGAGGATTTCTTGGGAAACGGGAATGTCTTCAGATAAACTCTAGACAGAAGCATTCTCAGAAACTTCTTTGGGATGTTTCAATTGAAGTCACAGTGTTGAACATTCCCTTTCACAGAGCAGGTTTGAAACACTCTTTTTGTAGTGTCTATAAGTGAACATTTGGCGTGCTTTCAGGCCTAACGTGAAAAAGGAAATATCTTCCCATAAAAACTAGACAGAAGCATTCTCAGAAACTTGTTCGTGATGTGTGCCCTCTACTGACAGAGTTGAACCTTTCTTTGCAAAGAGCAGCTTTGAAACACACTTTTTGTAGAATCTGCAAGAGGATATTTGGATAGCTTTGAGGATTTCGTTGGAAACGGGTATGTCTTCAGATGAACCCTAGACAGAAGCATTCTCAGAAACTTCTTTGGGATGTTGCATGCAAGTCACAGAGTAGAACATTCCCATTCATAGAGCAGATTTGAAACACTCTTTTTGTAGTATCTGGAAGTGGACATTTGGAGCGCTTTCAGGCCTATGTTGAAAAAGGAAATATCTTCCCATAAAAACTAGACGGAAGCATTCTCAGAAACTTATTTGTGATGTGTTTGCTCAACTAACAGGATTGAACCATCCTTTTGAAGGAGCAGTTTTGAAACACTGTTTTCGTGGAATCTGCAAGTGGATATTTGGCTAGCTTTGAGGATTTCGTTGGAAACGGGATTACATATAAAAAGGAGACAGCAGCATTCTCAGAAACTTCTTTGTGATGTCTGCATTCAATTCACAGAGTTGAGCATTCCCTTTCATAGAGCAGGTTGGAAACACTCTTTTTGTAGTATCTGGATGTGGACATTTGGATCGCTTTCAGGCCTATGGTGAAAAAGGAAATATCTTCCCATGAAAACTAGACAGAAGCATTCTCAGAAACTTATTTGTGATGTGTGCACTCAACTGACAGTGTTGAACCTTTGTTTTGATAGAGCAGTTCTGAAACACACTTTTTGTAAAATCTGCAAGAGGATATTTGGATAGCTTTGAGGATTTCGTTGGAAACGGGAATGTCTTCATGTAAACTCTAGACAGAAGCATTCTCAGAAACTGCTTTGGGATGTTTCAATTGAAGTCCCAGTGTTGAACATTCCCATTCATAGAGCAGGTTTGAAACACTCTTTTTCTACTATCTGGAAGTGGACATTTGGAGCGCTTTCAGGTCTACGGTGAAAAAGGAGATATCTTCCAATAAAAACTAGATAGAAGCAATGTCAGAACTTTTTTCATGATGTATCTACTCAGCAAACAGAGTTGAACCTTTCTTTTGAGAGAGCAGTTTTGACACTGTCTTTGTGGAATATGCAAGTGGGTATTAGGCCAGCTTGGAGGATTTCGTTGGAAACGGGAATACGTATAAAAAGCAGACAGCAGCATTGTCAGAAACTACTTTGTGATGTTTGCATTCAAGTCACAGAATTGAACACTCCCTTTCACAGAGCAGGTTTGAAACACTCTTTTTGTAGTGTCTGTAAGTGAACATTTGGATTGCTTTCAGGCCTAAGGTGAAAAAGGAAATATCTTCCCATAAAAACTAGACAGAAGCATTCTCAGAAACTTGTTTGTGATGTGTGCCCTCTACTGACAGAGTTGAACCTTTCTTTGCAAAGAGCAGTTTTGAAACACTCTTTTTGTAGAATCTGCAAGAGGATATTTGGATAGCTTTGAGGATTTCTTGGGAAACGGGAATGTCTTCAGATAAACTCTAGACAGAAGCATTCTCAGAAACTTCTTTGGGATGTTTCAATTGAAGTCACAGTGTTGAACATTCCCTTTCACAGAGCAGGTTTGAAACACTCTTTTTGTAGTGTCTATAAGTGAACATTTGGCGTGCTTTCAGGCCTAACGTGAAAAAGGAAATATCTTCCCATAAAAACTAGACAGAAGCATTCTCAGAAACTTGTTCATGATGTGTGCCCTCTACTGACAGAGTTGAACCTTTCTTTGCAAAGAGCAGCTTTGAAACACTCTTTTTGTAGAATCTGCAAGAGGATATTTGGATAGCTTTGAGGATTTCGTTGGAAACGGGTATGTCTTCAGATAAACTCTAGACAGAAGCATTCTCAGAAACTTCTTTGGGATGTTGCATTCAAGTCACAGAGTAGAACATTCCCATTCATAGAGCAGATTTGAAACACTCTTTTTGTAGTATCTGGAAGTGGACATTTGGAGCGCTTTCAGGCCTATGTTGAAAAAGGAAATATCTTCCCATAAAAACTAGACGGAAGCATTCTCAGAAACTTACTTGTGATGTGTTTGCTCAACTAACAGAATTGAACCATCGTTTTGAAGGAGCAGTTTTGAAACACTGTTTTCGTGGAATCTGCAAGTGGATATTTGGCTAGCTTTGAGGATTTCGTTGGAAACGGGATTACATATACAAAGGAGACAGCAGCATTCTCAGAAACTTCTTTGTGATGTCTGCATTCAATTCACAGAGTTGAGCATTCCCTTTCATAGAGCAGGTTGGAAACACTCTTTTTGTAGTATCTGGATGAGGACATTTGGAGCGCTTTCAGGCCTATGGTGAAAAAGGAAATATCTTCCCGTAAAAACTAGACAGAAGCATTCTCAGAAATTTATTTGTGATGTGTGCCCTCAACTAACAGAGTTGAACCTTTCTTTTGATAGAGCAGTTTTGAAACACTCTTTTTGTAAAATCTGCAAGAGGATATTTGGATAGCTTTGAGGATTTCATTGCAAACGGGAATGGCATCATATAAACTCTAGACAGAAGCATTCTCAGAAACTTCGTTGGGATGTTTCGATTGAAGTCCCAGTGTTGAACATTCCCTTTTATAGAGCAGGTTGGAAACACTCTTTCTGCATTCCCTGGAAGTGGACCTTTGGAGCGCTTTCAGGACGACGGTGAAAATGGAAATATCTTCCAATAAAATCTAGATAGAAGCAACGTCAGAAACTTTTATGTGATGGATCTACTCAGCTAACAGAGTTGAACCTTTCTTTTGAGAGAGCAGTTTTGCAACACTCTTTTTGTGGAATATGCAAGTGGATATTAGGGCAGCTTTGAGGATTTCGTTGGAAACGGGAATACATGTAAAAAACAGACAGCAGCATTCTCAGAAACTTCTTTGTGATGTTTGCATTGAAGTCACAGAGTTGAACATTCCCTTTGAGAGAGCAGGTTTGAAACACGCCTTTTGTCATATCTGGAAGTGTCCATTCGGAGCGCATTCAGGCTTGTGTTGAAAAAGGAAATATCCTCCCATAAAAACTAGACAGAAGCATTCTCAGAAACTTATTTGTGATGTATGTACTCAACTAACAGAACTAAACCATCGTTTTGAAGGAGCAGTTTTGAAACACTCTTTTTGCGGAATCTGCAAGTGGATATTTGGCTAGCTGGGAGGATTTCGTTGGAAACGGGATTACATAAAAAAGCAGACAGCAGCATTCTCAGAAACTTCTTTGTGATGTTTGCATTCAAGTCGCAGAGTTGAACATTCCCTTTCATAGAGCAGGTTTGAAACACTCTTTTTGTAGTATCTGGATGTGGACATTTGGATCGCTTTCAGGCCTATGGTGAAAAAGGAAATATCTTCCCATGAAAACTAGACAGAAGCATTCTCAGAAACTTATTTGTGATGTGTGCCCTCAACTGACAGTGTTGAACCTTTGTTTTGATAGAGCAGTTCTGAAACACACTTTTTGTAAAATCTGCAAGAGGATATTTGGATAGCTTTGAGGATTTCGTTGGAAACGGGAATGTCTTCATGTAAACTCTAGACAGAAGCATTCTCAGAAACTGCTTTGGGATGTTTCAATTGAAGTCCCAGTGTTGAACATTCCCTTTCATAGAGCAGGTTTGAAACACTCTTTTTGTAGTATCTGGAAGTGGACATTTGGAGCGCTTTCAGGTCTACGGTGAAAAGGGAGATATCTTCCAATAAAAACTAGATAGAAGCAATGTCAGAACTTTTTTCATGATGTATCTACTCAGCAAACAGAGTTGAACCTTTCTTTTGAGAGAGCAGTTTTGAAACACTCTTTTTGTGGAATATGCAAGTGGGTATTAGGCCAGCTTGAAGGATTTCGTTGGAAACGGGATTACGTATAAAAAGCAGACAGCAGCATTGTCAGAAACTACTTTGTGATGTTTGCATTCAAGTCACAGAATTGAACACTCCCTTTCACAGAGCCGGTTTGAAACACTCTTTTTGTAGTGTCTGTAAGTGAACATTTGGATTGCTTTCAGGCCTAAGGTGAAAAAGGAAATATCTTCCCATAAAAACTAGACAGAAGCATTCTCAGAAACTTGTTTGTGATGTGTGCCCTCTACTGACAGAGTTGAACCTTTCTTTGCAAAGAGCAGTTTTGAAACACTCTTTTTGTAGAATCTGCAAGAGGATATTTGGATAGCTTTGAGGATTTCTTGGGAAACGGGAATGTCTTCAGATAAACTCTAGACAGAAGCATTCTCAGAAACTTCTTTGGGATGTTTCAATTGAAGTCACAGTGTTGAACATTCCCTTTCACAGAGCAGGTTTGAAACACTCTTTTTGTAGTGTCTATAATTGAACATTTGGCGTGCTTTCAGGCCTAACGTGAAAAAGGAAATATCTTCCCATAAAAACTAGACAGAAGCATTCTCAGAAACTTGTTCGTGATGTGTGCCCTCTACTGACAGAGTTGAACCTTTCTTTGCAAAGAGCAGCTTTGAAACACTCTTTTTGTAGAATCTGCAAGAGGATATGTGGATAGCTTTGAGGATTTCGTTGGAAACGGGTATGTCTTCAGATAAACTCTAGACAGAAGCATTCTCAGAAACTTCTTTGGGATGTTTCAATTGAAGTCACAGTGTTGAACATTCCCTTTCACAGAGCAGGTTTGAAACACTCTTTTTGTAGTGTCTATAAGTGAACATTTGGCGTGCTTTCAGGCCTAACGTGAAAAAGGAAATATCTTCCCATAAAAACTAGACAGAAGCATTCTCAGAAACTTGTTCATGATGTGTGCCCTCTACTGACAGAGTTGAACCTTTCTTTGCAAAGAGCAGCTTTGAAACACTCTTTTTGTAGAATCTGCAAGAGGATATTTGGATAGCTTTGAGGATTTCGTTGGAAACGGGTATGTCTTCAGATAAACTCTAGACAGAAGCATTCTCAGAAACTTCTTTGGGATGTTGCATTCAAGTCACAGAGTAGAACATTCCCATTCATAGAGCAGATTTGAAACACTCTTTTTGTAGTATCTGGAAGTGGACATTTGGAGCGCTTTCAGGCCTATGTTGAAAAAGGAAATATCTTCCCATAAAAACTAGACGGAAGCATTCTCAGAAACTTACTTGTGATGTGTTTGCTCAACTAACAGAATTGAACCATCGTTTTGAAGGAGCAGTTTTGAAACACTGTTTTCGTGGAATCTGCAAGTGGATATTTGGCTAGCTTTGAGGATTTCGTTGGAAACGGGATTACATATAAAAAGGAGACAGCAGCATTCTCAGAAACTTCTTTGTGATGTCTGCATTCAAGTCACAGAGTTGAGCATTCCCTTTCATAGAGCAGGTTGGAAACACTCTTTTTGTAGTATCTGGATGAGGACATTTGGAGCGCTTTCAGGCGTATGGTGAAAAAGGAAATATCTTCCCGTAAAAACTAGACAGAAGCATTCTCAGAAATTTATTTGTGATGTGTGCCCTCAACTAACAGAGTTGAACCTTTCTTTTGATAGAGCAGTTTTGAAACACTCTTTTTGTAAAATCTGCAAGAGGATATTTGGATAGCTTTGAGGATTTCGTTGCAAACGGGAATGGCTTCATATAAACTCTAGACAGAAGCATTCTCAGAAACTTCGTTGGGATGTTTCGATTGAAGTCCCAGTGTTGAACATTCCCTTTTATAGAGCAGGTTGGAAACACTCTTTCTGCATTCCCTGGAAGTGGACATTTGGAGCGCTTTCAGGACGACGGTGAAAATGGAAATATCTTCCAAGAAAATCTAGATAGAAGCAACGTCAGAAACTTTTCTGTGATGGATCTACTCAGCTAACAGAGTTGAACCTTTCTTTTGAGAGAGCAGTTTTGCAACACTCTTTTTGTGGAATATGCAAGTGGATATTAGGGCAGCTTTGAGGATTTCGTTGGAAACGGGAATACATGTAAAAAGCAGACAGCAGCATTCTCAGAAACTTCTTTGTGATGTTTGCATTGAAGTCACAGAGTTGAACATTCCCTTTGAGAGAGCAGGTTTGAAACACGCCTTTTGTCATATCTGGAAGTGTCCATTCGGAGCGCATTCAGGCTTGTGTTGAAAAAGGAAATATCCTCCCATAAAAACTAGACAGAAGCATTCTCAGAAACTTATCTGTGATGTATGTACTCAACTAACAGAACTAAACCATCCTTTTGAAGGAGCAGTTTTGAAACACTCTTTTTGCGGAATCTGCAAGTGGATATTTGGCTAGCTGGGAGGATTTCGTTGGAAACGGGATTACATACAAAAAGCAGACAGCAGCATTCTCAGAAACTTCTTTGTGATGTTTGCATTCAAGTCACAGAGTTGAACATTCCCTTTCATAGAGCAGGTTTGAAACACTCTTTTTGTAGTATCTGGATGTGGACATTTGGATCGCTTTCAGGCCTATGGTGAAAAAGGAAATATCTTCCCATGAAAACTAGACAGAAGCATTCTCAGAAACTTATTTGTGATGTGTGCCCTCAACTGACAGTGTTGAACCTTTGTTTTGATAGAGCAGTTCTGAAACACACTTTTTGTAAAATCTGCAAGAGGATATTTGGATAGCTTTGAGGATTTCGTTGGAAACGGGAATGTCTTCATGTAAACTCTACACAGAAGCATTCTCAGAAACTGCTTTGGGATGTTTCAATTGAAGTCCCAGTGTTGAACATTCCCATTCATAGAGCAGTTTTGAAACACTCTTTTTGTACTATCTGGAAGTGGACATTTGGAGCGCTTTCAGGTCTACGGTGAAAAAGGAGATATCTTCCAATAAAAACTAGATAGAAGCAATGTCAGAACTTTTTTCATGATGTATCTACTCAGCAAACAGAGTTGAACCTTTCTTTTGAGAGAGCAGTTTTGAAACACTCTTTTTGTGGAATATGCAAGTGGGTATTAGGCCAGCTTGGAGGATTTCCCTTGGAAACGGGAATACGTATAAAAAGCAGACAGCAGCATTGTCAGAAACTACTTTGTGATGTTTGCATTCAAGTCACAGAATTGAACACTCCCTTTCACAGAGCAGGTTTGAAACACTCTTTTTGTAGTGTCTGTAAGTGAACATTTGGATTGCTTTCAGGCCTAAGGTGAAAAAGGAAATATCTTCCCATAAAAACTAGACAGAAGCATTCTCAGAAACTTGTTTGTGATGTGTGCCCTCTACTGACAGAGTTGAACCTTTCTTTGCAAAGAGCAGTTTTGAAACACTCTTTTTGTAGAATCTGCAAGAGGATATTTGGATAGCTTTGAGGATTTCTTGGGAAACGGGAATGTCTTCAGATAAACTCTAGACAGAAGCATTCTCAGAAACTTCTTTGGGATGTTTCAATTGAAGTCACAGTGTTGAACATTCCCTTTCACAGAGCAGGTTTGAAACACTCTTTTTGTAGTGTGTATAAGTGAACATTTGGCGTGCTTTCAGGCCTAACGTGAAAAAGGAAATATCTTCCCATAAAAACTAGACAGAAGCATTCTCAGAAACTTGTTCGTGATGTGTGCCCTCTACTGACAGAGTTGAACCTTTCTTTGCAAAGAGCAGCTTTGAAACACACTTTTTGTAGAATCTGCAAGAGGATATTTGGATAGCTTTGAGGATTTCGTTGGAAACGGGTATGTCTTCAGATAAACTCTAGACAGAAGCATTCTCAGAAACTTCTTTGGGATGTTGCATTCAAGTCACAGAGTAGAACATTCCCATTCATAGAGCAGATTTGAAACACTCTTTTTGTAGTATCTGGAAGTGGACATTTGGAGCGCTTTCAGGCCTATGTTGAAAAAGGAAATATCTTCCCATAAAAACTAGACGGAAGCATTCTCAGAAACTTACTTGTGATGTGTTTGCTCAACTAACAGAATTGAACCATCGTTTTGAAGGAGCAGTTTTGAAACACTGTTTTCGTGGAATCTGCAAGTGGATATTTGGCTAGCTTTGAGGATTTCGTTGGAAACGGGATTACATATAAAAAGGAGACAGCAGCATTCTCAGAAACTTCTTTGTGATGTCTGCATTCAATTCACAGAGTTGAGCATTCCCTTTCATAGAGCAGGTTGGAAACACTCTTTTTGTAGTATCTGGATGAGGACATTTGGAGCGCTTTCAGGCGTATGGTGAAAAAGGAAATATCTTCCCGTAAAAACTAGACAGAAGCATTCTCAGAAATTTATTTGTGATGTGTGCCCTCAACTAACAGAGTTGAACCTTTCTTTTGATAGAGCAGTTTTGAAACACTCTTTTTGTAAAATCTGCAAGAGGATATTTGGATAGCTTTGAGGATTTCGTTGCAAACGGGAATGGCTTCATATAAACTCTAGACAGAAGCATTCTCAGAAACTTCGTTGGGATGTTTCGATTGAAGTCCCAGTGTTGAACATTCCCTTTTATAGAGCAGGTTGGAAACACTCTTTCTGCATTCCCTGGAAGTGGACATTTGGAGCGCTTTCAGGACGACGGTGAAAATGGAAATATCTTCCAATAAAATCTAGATAGAAGCAACGTCAGAAACTTTTATGTGATGGATCTACTCAGCTAACAGAGTTGAACCTTTCTTTTGAGAGAGCAGTTTTGCAACACTCTTTTTGTGGAATATGCAAGTGGATATTAGGGCAGCTTTGAGGATTTCGTTGGAAACGGGAATACATGTAAAAAGCAGACAGCAGCATTCTCAGAAACTTCTTTGTGATGTTTGCATTGAAGTCACAGAGTTGAACATTCCCTTTGAGAGAGCAGGTTTGAAACACACCTTTTGTCATATCTGGAAGTGTCCATTCGGAGCGCATTCAGGCTTGTGTTGAAAAAGGAAATATCCTCCCATAAAAACTAGACAGAAGCATTCTCAGAAACTTATCTGTGATGTATGTACTCAACTAACAGAACTAAACCGTCGTTTTGAAGGGCAGTTTTGAAACACTCTTTTTGAGGAATCTGCAAGTGGATATTTGGCTAGCTGGGAGGATTTCGTTGGAAACGGGATTACATACAAAAAGCAGACAGCAGCATTCTCAGAAACTTCTTTGTGATGTTTGCATTCAAGTCACAGAGTTGAACATTCCCTTTCATAGAGCAGGTTTGAAACACTCTTTTTGTAGTATCTGGATGTGGACATTTGGATCGCTTTCAGGCCTATGGTGAAAAAGGAAATATCTTCCCATGAAAACTAGACAGAAGCATTCTCAGAAACTTATTTGTGATGTGTGCCCTCAACTGACAGTGTTGAACCTTTGTTTTGATAGAGCAGTTCTGAAACACACTTTTTGTAAAATCTGCAAGAGGATATTTGGATAGCTTTGAGGATTTCGTTGGAAACGGGAATGTCTTCATGTAAACTCTACACAGAAGCATTCTCAGAAACTGCTTTGGGATGTTTCAATTGAAGTCCCAGTGTTGAACATTCCCTTTCATAGAGCAGGTTTGAAACCCTCTTTTTGTACTATCTGGAAGTGGACATTTGGAGCGCTTTCAGGTCTACGGTGAAAAAGGAGATATCTTCCAATAAAAACTAGATAGAAGCAATGTCAGAACTTTTTTCATGATGTATCTACTCAGCAAACAGAGTTGAACCTTTCTTTTGAGAGAGCAGTTTTGAAACACTCCTTTTGTGGAATATGCAAGTGGGTATTAGGCCAGCTTGGAGGATTTCGTTGGAAACGGGAATACGTATAAAAAGCAGACAGCAGCATTGTCAGAAACTACTTTGTGATGTTTGCATTCAAGTCACAGAATTGAACACTCCCTTTCACAGAGCAGGTTTGAAACTCTCTTTTTGTAGTGTCTATAAGTGAACATTTGGCGTGCTTTCAGGCGTAACGTGAAAAAGGAAATATCTTCCCATAAAAACTAGACAGAAGCATTCTCAGAAACTTGTTCGTGATGTGTGCCCTCTACTGACAGAGTTGAACCTTTCTTTGCAAAGAGCAGTTTTGAAACACTCTTTTTGTAGAATCTGCAAGAGGATATTTGGATAGCTTTGAGGATTTCTTGGGAAACGGGAATGTCTTCAGATAAACTCTAGACAGAAGCATTCTCAGAAACTTCTTTGGGATGTTTCAATTGAAGTCACAGTGTTGAACATTCCCTTTCACAGAGCAGGTTTGAAACACTCTTTTTGTAGTGTCTATAATTGAACATTTGGCGTGCTTTCAGGCCTAACGTGAAAAAGGAAATATCTTCCCATAAAAACTAGACAGAAGCATTCTCAGAAACTTGTTCGCGATGTGTGCCCTCTACTGACAGAGTTGAACCTTTCTTTGCAAAGAGCAGCTTTGAAACACTCTTTTTGTAGAATCTGCAAGAGGATATGTGGATAGCTTTTAGGATTTCGTTGGAAACGGGTATGTCTTCAGATAAACTCTAGACAGAAGCATTCTCAGAAACTTCTTTGGGATGTTTCAATTGAAGTCACAGTGTTGAACATTCCCTTTCACAGAGCAGGTTTGAAACACTCTTTTTGTAGTGTCTATAAGTGAACATTTGGCGTGCTTTCAGGCCTAACGTGAAAAAGGAAATATCTTCCCATAAAAACTAGACAGAAGCATTCTCAGAAACTTGTTCTTGATGTGTCCCCTCTACTGACAGAGTTGAACCTTTCTTTGCAAAGAGCAGCTTTGAAACACTCTTTTTGTAGAATCTGCAAGAGGATATTTGGATAGCTTTGAGGATTTCGTTGGAAACGGGTATGTCTTCAGATAAACTCTAGACAGAAGCATTCTCAGAAACTTCTTTGGGATGTTGCATTCAAGTCACAGAGTAGAACATTCCCATTCATAGAGCAGATTTGAAACACTCTTTTTGTAGTATCTGGAAGTGGACATTTGGAGCGCTTTCAGGCCTATGTTGAAAAAGGAAATATCTTCCCATAAAAACTAGACGGAAGCATTCTCAGAAACTTATTTGTGATGTGTTTGCTCAACTAACAGGATTGAACCATCGTTTTGAAGGAGCAGTTTTGAAACACTGTTTTCGTGGAATCTGCAAGTGGATATTTGGCTAGCTTTGAGGATTTCGTTGGAAACGGGATTACATATACAAAGGAGACAGCAGCATTCTCAGAAACTTCTTTGTGATGTCTGCATTCAATTCACAGAGTTGAGCATTCCCTTTCATAGAGCAGGTTGGAAACACTCTTTTTGTAGTATCTGGATGAGGACATTTGGAGCGCTTTCAGGCGTATGGTGAAAAGGGAAATATCTTCCCGTAAAAACTAGACAGAAGCATTCTCAGAAGTTTATTTGTGATGTGTGCCCTCAACTAACAGAGTTGAACCTTTCTTTTGATAGAGCAGTTTTGAAACACTCTTTTTGTAAAATCTGCAAGAGGATATTTGGATAGCTTTGAGGATTTCGTTGCAAACGGGAATGGCTTCATATAAACTCTAGACAGAAGCATTCTCAGAAACTTCGTTGGGATGTTTCGATTGAAGTCCCAGTGTTGAACATTCCCTTTTATAGAGCAGGTTGGAAACACTCTTTCTGCATTCCCTGGAAGTGGACATTTGGAGCGCTTTCAGGACGACGGTGAAAATGGAAATATCTTCCAAGAAAATCTAGATAGAAGCAACGTCAGAAACTTTTATGTGATGGATCTACTCAGCTAACAGAGTTGAACCTTTCTTTTGAGAGAGCAGTTTTGCAACACTCTTTTTGTGGAATATGCAAGTGGATATTAGGGCAGCTTTGAGGATTTCGTTGGAAACGGGAATACATGTAAAAAGCAGACAGCAGCATTCTCAGAAACTTCTTTGTGATGTTTGCATTGAAGTCACAGAGTTGAACATTCCCTTTGAGAGAGCAGGTTTGAAACACGCCTTTTGTCATATCTGGAAGTGTCCATTCGGAGCGCATTCAGGCTTGTGTTGAAAAAGGAAATATCCTCCCATAAAAACTAGACAGAAGCATTCTCAGAAACTTATCTGTGATGTATGTACTCAACTAACAGAACTAAACCATCGTTTTGAAGGAGCAGTTTTGAAACACTCTTTTTGCGGAATCTGCAAGTGGATATTTGGCTAGCTGGGAGGATTTCGTTGGAAACGGGATTACATACAAAAAGCAGACAGCAGCATTCTCAGAAACTTCTTTGTGATGTTTGCATTCAAGTCACAGAGTTGAACATTCCCTTTCATAGAGCAGGTTTGAAACACTCTTTTTGTAGTATCTGGATGTGGACATTTGGATCGCTTTCAGGCCTATGGTGAAAAAGGAAATATCTTCCCATGAAAACTAGACAGAAGCATTCTCAGAAACTTATTTGTGATGTGTGCCCTCAACTGACAGTGTTGAACCTTTGTTTTGATAGAGCAGTTCTGAAACACACTTTTTGTAAAATCTGCAAGAGGATATTTGGATAGCTTTGAGGATTTCGTTGGAAACGGGAATGTCTTCATGTAAACTCTAGACAGAAAGCATTCTCAGAAACTGCTTTGGGATGTTTCAATTGAAGTCACAGTGTTGAACATTCCCTTTCATAGAGCAGGTTTGAAACACTCTTTTTGTAGTATCTGGAAGTGGACATTTGGAGCGCTTTCAGGTCTGCGGTGAAAAAGGAGATATCTTCCAATGAAAACTAGATAGAAGCAATGTCAGAACTTTTTTCATGATGTATCTACTCAGCAAACAGAGTTGAACCTTTCTTTTGAGAGAGCAGTTTTGAAACACTCTTTTTGTGGAATATGCAAGTGGGTATTAGGCCAGCTTGGAGGATTTCGTTGGAAACGGGAATACGTATAAAAAGCAGACAGCAGCATTGTCAGAAACTACTTTGTGATGTTTGCATTCAAGTCACAGAATTGAACACTCCCTTTCACAGAGCAGGTTTGAAACACTCTTTTTGTAGTGTCTGTAAGTGAACATATGGATTGCTTTCAGGCCTAAGGTGAAAAAGGAAATATCTTCCCATAAAAACTAGACAGAAGCATTCTCAGAAACTTGTTTGTGATGTGTGCCCTCTACTGACAGAGTTGAACCTTTCTTTGCAAAGACCAGTTTTGAAACACTCTTTTTGTAGAATCTGCAAGAGGATATTTGGATAGCTTTGAGGATTTCTTGGGAAACGGGAATGTCTTCAGATAAACTCTAGACAGAAGCATTCTCAGAAACTTCTTTGGGATGTTTCAATTGAAGTCACAGTGTTGAACATTCCCTTTCACAGAGCAGGTTTGAAACACTCTTTTTGTAGTGTCTATAAGTGAACATTTGGCGTGCTTTCAGGCCTAACGTGAAAAAGGAAATATCTTCCCATAAAAACTAGACAGAAGCATTCTCAGAAACTTGTTCGTGATGTGTGCCCTCTACTGACAGAGTTGAACCTTTCTTTGCAAAGAGCAGCTTTGAAACACACTTTTTGTAGAATCTGCAAGAGGATATTTGGATAGCTTGGAGGATTTCGTTGGAAACGGGTATGTCTTCAGATAAACTCTAGACAGAAGCATTCTCAGAAACTTCTTTGGGATGTTGCATTCAAGTCACAGAGTAGAACATTCCCATTCATAGAGCAGATTTGAAACACTCTTTTTGTAGTATCTGGAAGTGGACATTTGGAGCGCTTTCAGGCCTATGTTGAAAAAGGAAATATCTTCCCATAAAAACTAGACGGAAGCATTCTCAGAAACTTATTTGTGATGTGTTTGCTCAACTAACAGGATTGAACCATCGTTTTGAAGGAGCAGTTTTGAAACACTGTTTTCGTGGAATCTGCAAGTGGATATTTGGCTAGCTTTGAGGATTTCGTTGGAAACGGGATTACATATAAAAAGGAGACAGCAGCATTCTCAGAAACTTCTTTGTGATGTCTGCATTCAAGTCACAGAGTTGAGCATTCCCTTTCATAGAGAAGGTTGGAAACACTCTTTTTGTAGTATCTGGATGAGGACATTTGGAGCGCTTTCAGGCGTATGGTGAAAAAGGAAATATCTTCCCGTAAAAACTAGACAGAAGATTCTCAGAAATTTATTTGTGATGTGTGCCCTCAACTAACAGAGTTGAACCTTTCTTTTGATAGAGCAGTTTTGAAACACTCTTTTTGTAAAATCTGCAAGAGGATATTTGGATAGCTTTGAGGATTTCGTTGCAAACGGGAATGGCTTCATATAAACTCTAGACAGAAGCATTCTCAGAAACTTCGTTGGGATGTTTCGATTGAAGTCCCAGTGTTGAACATTCCCTTTTATAGAGCAGGTTGGAAACACTCTTTCTGCATTCCCTGGAAGTGGACATTTGGAGCGCTTTCAGGACGACGGTGAAAATGGAAATATCTTCCAAGAAAATCTAGATAGAAGCAACGTCAGAAACTTTTCTGTGATGGATCTACTCAGCTAACAGAGTTGAACCTTTCTTTTGAGAGAGCAGTTTTGCAACACTCTTTTTGTGGAATATGCAAGTGGATATTAGGGCAGCTTTGAGGATTTCGTTGGAAACGGGAATACATGTAAAAAGCAGACAGCAGCATTCTCAGAAACTTCTTTGTGATGTTTGCATTGAAGTCACAGAGTTGAACATTCCCTTTGAGAGAGCAGGTTTGAAACACGCCTTTTGTCATATCTGGAAGTGTCCATTCGGAGCGCATTCAGGCTTGTGTTGAAAAAGGAAATATCCTCCCATAAAAACTAGACAGAAGCATTCTCAGAAACTTATCTGTGATGTATGTACTCAACTAACAGAACTAAACCATCGTTTTGAAGGAGCAGTTTTGAAACACTCTTTTTGCGGAATCTGCAAGTGGATATTTGGCTAGCTGGGAGGATTTCGTTGGAAACGGGATTACATACAAAAAGCAGACAGCAGCATTCTCAGAAACTTCTTTGTGATGTTTGCATTCAAGTCACAGAGTTGAACATTCCCTTTCATAGAGCAGGTTTGAAACACTCTTTTTGTAGTATCTGGATGTGGACATTTGGATCGCTTTCAGGCCTATGGTGAAAAAGGAAATATCTTCCCATGAAAACTAGACAGAAGCATTCTCAGAAACTTATTTGTGATGTGTGCCCTCAACTGACAGTGTTGAACCTTTGTTTTGATAGAGCAGTTCTGAAACACACTTTTTGTAAAATCTGCAAGAGGATATTTGGATAGCTTTGAGGATTTCGTTGGAAACGGGAATGTCTTCATGTAAACTCTACACAGAAGCATTCTCAGAAACTGCTTTGGGATGTTTCAATTGAAGTCCCAGTGTTGAACATTCCCATTCATAGAGCAGGTTTGAAACACTCTTTTTGTACTATCTGGAAGTGGACATTTGGAGCGCTTTCAGGTCTACGGTGAAAAAGGAGATATCTTCCAATAAAAACTAGATAGAAGCAATGTCAGAACTTTTTTCATGATGTATCTACTCAGCAAACAGAGTTGAACCTTTCTTTTGAGAGAGCAGTTTTGAAACACTCTTTTTGTGGAATATGCAAGTGGGTATTAGGCCAGCTTGGAGGATTTCGTTGGAAACGGGAATACGTATAAAAAGCAGACAGCAGCATTGTCAGAAACTACTTTGTGATGTTTGCATTCAAGTCACAGAATTGAACACTCCCTTTCACAGAGCAGGTTTGAAACACTCTTTTTGTAGTGTCTGTAAGTGAACATATGGATTGCTTTCAGGCCTAAGGTGAAAAAGGAAATATCTTCCCATAAAAACTAGACAGAAGCATTCTCAGAAACTTGTTTGTGATGTGTGCCCTCTACTGACAGAGTTGAACCTTTCTTTGCAAAGAGCAGTTTTGAAACACTCTTTTTGTAGAATCTGCAAGAGGATATTTGGATAGCTTTGAGGATTTCTTGGGAAACGGGAATGTCTTCAGATAAACTCTAGACAGAAGCATTCTCAGAAACTTCTTTGGGATGTTTCAATTGAAGTCACAGTGTTGAACATTCCCTTTCACAGAGCAGGTTTGAAACACTCTTTTTGTAGTGTCTATAAGTGAACATTTGGCGTGCTTTCAGGCCTAACGTGAAAAAGGAAATATCTTCCCATAAAAACTAGACAGAAGCATTCTCAGAAACTTGTTCGTGATGTGTGCCCTCTACTGACAGAGTTGAACCTTTCTTTGCAAAGAGCAGCTTTGAAACACACTTTTTGTAGAATCTGCAAGAGGATATTTGGATAGCTTGGAGGATTTCGTTGGAAACGGGTATGTCTTCAGATAAACTCTAGACAGAAGCATTCTCAGAAACTTCTTTGGGATGTTGCATTCAAGTCACAGAGTAGAACATTCCCATTCATAGAGCAGATTTGAAACACTCTTTTTGTAGTATCTGGAAGTGGACATTTGGAGCGCTTTCAGGCCTATGTTGAAAAAGGAAATATCTTCCCATAAAAACTAGACGGAAGCATTCTCAGAAACTTATTTGTGATGTGTTTGCTCATCTAACAGGATTGAACCATCGTTTTGAAGGAGCAGTTTTGAAACACTGTTTTCGTGGAATCTGCAAGTGGATATTTGGCTAGCTTTGAGGATTTCGTTGGAAACGGGATTACATATACAAAGGAGACAGCAGCATTCCTCAGAAACTTCTTTGTGATGTCTGCATTCAATTCACAGAGTTGAGCATTCCCTTTCATAGAGCAGGTTGGAAACACTCTTTTTGTAGTATCTGGATGAGGACATTTGGAGCGCTTTCAGGCGTATGGTGAAAAAGGAAATATCTTCCCGTAAAAACTAGACAGAAGATTCTCAGAAATTTATTTGTGATGTGTGCCCTCAACTAACAGAGTTGAACCTTTCTTTTGATAGAGCAGTTTTGAAACACTCTTTTTGTAAAATCTGCAAGAGGATATTTGGATAGCTTTGAGGATTTCGTTGCAAACGGGAATGGCTTCGTATAAACTCTAGACAGAAGCATTCTCAGAAACTTCGTTGGGATGTTTCGATTGAAGTCCCAGTGTTGAACATTCCCTTTTATAGAGCAGGTTGGAAACACTCTTTCTGCATTCCCTGGAAGTGGACATTTGGAGCGCTTTCAGGACGACGGTGAAAATGGAAATATCTTCCAAGAAAATCTAGATAGAAGCAACGTCAGAAACTTTTATGTGATGGATCTACTCAGCTAACAGAGTTGAACCTTTCTTTTGAGAGAGCAGTTTTGCAACACTCTTTTTGTGGAATATGCAAGTGGATATTAGGGCAGCTTTGAGGATTTCGTTGGAAACGGGAATACATGTAAAAAGCAGACAGCAGCATTCTCAGAAACTTCTTTGTGATGTTTGCATTGAAGTCACAGAGTTGAACATTCCCTTTGAGAGAGCAGGTTTGAAACACGCCTTTTGTCATATCTGGAAGTGTCCATTCGGAGCGCATTCAGGCTTGTGTTGAAAAAGGAAATATCCTCCCATAAAAACTAGACAGAAGCATTCTCAGAAACTTATCTGTGATGTATGTACTCAACTAACAGAACTAAACCATCGTTTTGAAGGGCAGTTTAGAAACACTCTTTTTGCGGAATCTGCAAGTGGATATTTGGCTAGCTGGGAGGATTTCGTTGGAAACGGGATTACATACAAAAAGCAGACAGCAGCATTCTCAGAAACTTCTTTGTGATGTTTGCATTCAAGTCACAGAGTTGAACATTCCCTTTCATAGAGCAGGTTTGAAACACTCTTTTTGTAGTATCTGGATGTGGACATTTGGATCGCTTTCAGGCCTATGGTGAAAAAGGAAATATCTTCCCATGAAAACTAGACAGAAGCATTCTCAGAAACTTATTTGTGATGTGTGCCCTCAACTGACAGTGTTGAACCTTTGTTTTGATAGAGCAGTTCTGAAACACACTTTTTGTAAAATCTGCAAGAGGATATTTGGATAGCTTTGAGGATTTCGTTGGAAACGGGAATGTCTTCATGTAAACTCTAGACAGAAGCATTCTCAGAAACTGCTTTGGGATGTTTCAATTGAAGTCCCAGTGTTGAACATTCCCTTTCATAGAGCAGGTTTGAAACACTCTTTTTGTACTATCTGGAAGTGGACATTTGGAGCGCTTTCAGGTCTACGGTGAAAAAGGAGATATCTTCCAATAAAAACTAGATAGAAGCAATGTCAGAACTTTTTTCATGATGTATCTACTCAGCAAACAGAGTTGAACCTTTCTTTTGAGGGAGCAGTTTTGAAACACTATTTTTGTGGAATATGCAAGTGGGTATTAGGCCAGCTTGGAGGATTTCGTTGGAAACGGTAATACGTATAAAAAGCAGACAGCAGCATTGTCAGAAACTACTTTGTGATGTTTGCATTCAAGTCACAGAATTGAACACTCCCTTTCACAGAGCAGGTTTGAAACACTCTTTTTGTAGTGTCTGTAAGTGAACATTTGGATTGCTTTCAGGCCTAAGGTGAAAAAGGAAATATCTTCCCATAAAAACTAGACAGAAGCATTCTCAGAAACTTGTTTGTGATGTGTGCCCTCTACTGACAGAGTTGAACCTTTCTTTGCAAAGAGCAGTTTTGAAACACTCTTTTTGTAGAATCTGCAAGAGGATATTTGGATAGCTTTGAGGATTTCTTGGGAAACGGGAATGTCTTCAGATAAACTCTAGACAGAAGCATTCTCAGAAACTTCTTTGGGATGTTTCAATTGAAGTCACAGTGTTGAACATTCCCTTTCACAGAGCAGGTTTGAAACACTCTTTTTGTAGTGTCTATAAGTGAACATTTGGCGTGCTTTCAGGCGTAACGTGAAAAAGGAAATATCTTCCCATAAAAACCAGACAGAAGCATTCTCAGAAACTTGTTCGTGATGTGTGCCCTCTACTGACAGAGTTGAACCTTTCTTTGCAAAGAGCAGCTTTGAAACACACTTTTTGTAGAATCTGCAAGAGGATATTTGGATAGCTTGGAGGATTTCGTTGGAAACGGGTATGTCTTCAGATAAACTCTAGACAGAAGCATTCTCAGAAACTTCTTTGGGATGTTGCATTCAAGTCACAGAGTAGAACATTCCCATTCATAGAGCAGATTTGAAACACTCTTTTTGTAGTATCTGGAAGTGGACATTTGGAGCGCTTTCAGGCCTATGTTGAAAAAGGAAATATCTTCCCATAAAAACTAGACGGAAGCATTCTCAGAAACTTATTTGTGATGTGTTTGCTCAACTAACAGGATTGAACCATCGTTTTGAAGGAGCAGTTTTGAAACACTGTTTTCGTGGAATCTGCAAGTGGATATTTGGCTAGCTTTGAGGATTTCGTTGGAAACGGGATTACATATACAAAGGAGACAGCAGCATTCTCAGAAACTTCTTTGTGATGTCTGCATTCAATTCACAGAGTTGAGCATTCCCTTTCATAGAGCAGGTTGGAAACACTCTTTTTGTAGTATCTGGATGAGGACATTTGGAGCGCTTTCAGGCGTATGGTGAAAAAGGAAATATCTTCCCGTAAAAACTAGACAGAAGCATTCTCAGAAGTTTATTTGTGATGTGTGCCCTCAACTAACAGAGTTGAACCTTTCTTTTGATAGAGCAGTTTTGAAACACTCTTTTTGTAAAATCTGCAAGAGGATATTTGGATAGCTTTGAGGATTTCGTTGCAAACGGGAATGGCTTCATATAAACTCTAGACAGAAGCATTCTCAGAAACTTCGTTGGGATGTTTCGATTGAAGTCCCAGTGTTGAACATTCCCTTTTATAGAGCAGGTTGGAAACACTCTTTCTGCATTCCCTGGAAGTGGACATTTGGAGCGCTTTCAGGACGACGGTGAAAATGGAAATATCTTCCAAGAAAATCTAGATAGAAGCAATGTCAGAAACTTTTATGTGATGGATCTACTCAGCTAACAGAGTTGAACCTTTCTTTTGAGAGAGCAGTTTTGCAACACTCTTTTTGTGGAATATGCAAGTGGATATTAGGGCAGCTTTGAGGATTTCGTTGGAAACGGGAATACATGTAAAAAGCAGACAGCAGCATTCTCAGAAACTTCTTTGTGATGTTTGCATTGAAGTCACAGAGTTGAACATTCCCTTTGAGAGAGCAGGTTTGAAACACGCCTTTTGTCATATCTGGAAGTGTCCATTCGGAGCGCATTCAGGCTTGTGTTGAAAAAGGAAATATCCTCCCATAAAAACTAGACAGAAGCATTCTCAGAAACTTATCTGTGATGTATGTACTCAACTAACAGAACTAAACCATCGTTTTGAAGGAGCAGTTTTGAAACACTCTTTTTGCGGAATCTGCAAGTGGATATTTGGCTAGCTGGGAGGATTTCGTTGGAAACGGGATTACATACAAAAAGCAGACAGCAGCATTCTCAGAAACTTCTTTGTGATGTTTGCATTCAAGTCACAGAGTTGAACATTCCCTTTCATAGAGCAGGTTTGAAACACTCTTTTTGTAGTATCTGGATGTGGACATTTGGATCGCTTTCAGGCCTATGGTGAAAAAGGAAATATCTTCCCATGAAAACTAGACAGAAGCATTCTCAGAAACTTATTTGTGATGTGTGCCCTCAACTGACAGTGTTGAACCTTTGTTTTGATAGAGCAGTTCTGAAACACACTTTTTGTAAAATCTGCAAGAGGATATTTGGATAGCTTTGAGGATTTCGTTGGAAACGGGAATGTCTTCATGTAAACTCTACACAGAAGCATTCTCAGAAACTGCTTTGGGATGTTTCAATTGAAGTCCCAGTGTTGAACATTCCCTTTCATAGAGCAGGTTTGAAACCCTCTTTTTGTACTATCTGGAAGTGGACATTTGGAGCGCTTTCAGGTCTACGGTGAAAAAGGAGATATCTTCCAATAAAAACTAGATAGAAGCAATGTCAGAACTTTTTTCATGATGTATCTACTCAGCAAACAGAGTTGAACCTTTCTTTTGAGAGAGCAGTTTTGAAACACTCCTTTTGTGGAATATGCAAGTGGGTATTAGGCCAGCTTGGAGGATTTCGTTGGAAACGGGAATACGTATAAAAAGCAGACAGCAGCATTGTCAGAAACTACTTTGTGATGTTTGCATTCAAGTCACAGAATTGAACACTCCCTTTCACAGAGCAGGTTTGAAACTCTCTTTTTGTAGTGTCTATAAGTGAACATTTGGCGTGCTTTCAGGCGTAACGTGAAAAAGGAAATATCTTCCCATAAAAACTAGACAGAAGCATTCTCAGAAACTTGTTCTTGATGTGTGCCCTCTACTGACAGAGTTGAACCTTTCTTTGCAAAGAGCAGTTTTGAAACACTCTTTTTGTAGAATCTGCAAGAGGATATTTGGATAGCTTTGAGGATTTCTTGGGAAACGGGAATGTCTTCAGATAAACTCTAGACAGAAGCATTCTCAGAAACTTCTTTGGGATGTTTCAATTGAAGTCACAGTGTTGAACATTCCCTTTCACAGAGCAGGTTTGAAACACTCTTTTTGTAGTGTCTATAAGTGAACATTTGGCGTGCTTTCAGGCCTAACGTGAAAAAGGAAATCTCTTCCCATAAAAACTAGACAGAAGCATTCTCAGAAACTTGTTCGTGATGTGTGCCCTCTACTGACAGAGTTGAACCTTTCTTTGCAAAGAGCAGCTTTGAAACACTCTTTTTGTAGAATCTGCAAGAGGATATTTGGATAGCTTTGAGGATTTCGTTGGAAACGGGGATGTCTTCAGATAAACTCTAGACAGAAGCATTCTCAGAAACTTCTTTGGGATGTTGCATTCAAGTCACAGAGTAGAACATTCCCATTCATAGAGCAGATTTGAAACACTCTTTTTGTAGTATCTGGAAGTGGACATTTGGAGCGCTTTCAGGCCTATGTTGAAAAAGGATATATCTTCCCATAAAAACTAGACGGAAGCATTCTCAGAAACTTACTTGTGATGTGTTTGCTCAACTAACAGAATTGAACCATCGTTTTGAAGGAGCAGTTTTGAAACACTGTTTTCGTGGAATCTGCAAGTGGATATTTGGCTAGCTTTGAGGATTTCGTTGGAAACGGGATTACATATAAAAAGGAGACAGCAGCATTCTCAGAAACTTCTTTGTGATGTCTGCATTCAAGTCACAGAGTTGAGCATTCCCTTTCATAGAGCAGGTTGGAAACACTCTTTTTGTAGTATCTGGATGAGGACATTTGGAGCGCTTTCAGGCGTATGGTGAAAAAGGAAATATCTTCCCGTAAAAACTAGACAGAAGCATTCTCAGAAATTTATTTGTGATGTGTGCCCTCAACTAACAGAGTTGAACCTTTCTTTTGATAGAGCAGTTTTGAAACACTCTTTTTGTAAAATCTGCAAGAGGATATTTGGATAGCTTTGAGGATTTCGTTGCAAACGGGAATGGCTTCATATAAACTCTAGACAGAAGCATTCTCAGAAACTTCGTTGGGATGTTTCGATTGAAGTCCCAGTGTTGAACATTCCCTTTTATAGAGCAGGTTGGAAACACTCTTTCTGCATTCCCTGGAAGTGGACATTTGGAGCGCTTTCAGGACGACGGTGAAAATGGAAATATCTTCCAAGAAAATCTAGATAGAAGCAATGTCAGAAACTTTTATGTGATGGATCTACTCAGCTAACAGAGTTGAACCTTTCTTTTGAGAGAGCAGTTTTGCAACACTCTTTTTGTGGAATATGCAAGTGGATATTAGGGCAGCTTTGAGGATTTCGTTGGAAACGGGAATACATGTAAAAAGCAGACAGCAGCATTCTCAGAAACTTCTTTGTGATGTTTGCATTGAAGTCACAGAGTTGAACATTCCCTTTGAGAGAGCAGGTTTGAAACACGCCTTTTGTCATATCTGGAAGTGTCCATTCGGAGCGCATTCAGGCTTGTGTTGAAAAAGGAAATATCCTCCCATAAAAACTAGACAGAAGCATTCTCAGAAACTTATCTGTGATGTATGTACTCAACTAACAGAACTAAACCATCGTTTTGAAGGAGCAGTTTTGAAACACTCTTTTTGCGGAATCTGCAAGTGGATATTTGGCTAGCTGGGAGGATTTCGTTGGAAACGGGATTACATACAAAAAGCAGACAGCAGCATTCTCAGAAAACTTCTTTGTGATGTTTGCATTCAAGTCACAGAGTTGAACATTCCCTTTCATAGAGCAGGTTTGAAACACTCTTTTTGTAGTATCTGGATGTGGACATTTGGATCGCTTTCAGGCCTATGGTGAAAAAGGAAATATCTTCCCATGAAAACTAGACAGAAGCATTCTCAGAAACTTATTTGTGATGTGTGCCCTCAACTGACAGTGTTGAACCTTTGTTTTGATAGAGCAGTTCTGAAACACACTTTTTGTAAAATCTGCAAGAGGATATTTGGATAGCTTTGAGGATTTCGTTGGAAACGGGAATGTCTTCATGTAAACTCTAGACAGAAGCATTCTCAGAAACTGCTTTGGGATGTTTCAATTGAAGTCCCAGTGTTGAACATTCCCATTCATAGAGCAGGTTTGAAACACTCTTTTTGTACTATCTGGAAGTGGACATTTGGAGCGCTTTCAGGTCTACGGTGAAAAAGGAGATATCTTCCAATAAAAACTAGATAGAAGCAATGTCAGAACTTTTTTCATGATGTATCTACTCAGCAAACAGAGTTGAACCTTTCTTTTGAGAGAGCAGTTTTGACACTGTCTTTGTGGAATATGCAAGTGGGTATTAGGCCAGCTTGGAGGATTTCGTTGGAAACGGGAATACGTATAAAAAGCAGACAGCAGCATTGTCAGAAACTACTTTGTGATGTTTGCATTCAAGTCACAGAATTGAACACTCCCTTTCACAGAGCAGGTTTGAAACACTCTTTTTGTAGTGTCTGTAAGTGAACATTTGGATTGCTTTCAGGCCTATGGTGAAAAAGGAAATATCTTCCCATAAAAACTAGACAGAAGCATTCTCAGAAACTTGTTTGTGATGTGTGCCCTCTACTGACAGAGTTGAACCTTTCTTTGCAAAGAGCAGTTTTGAAACACTCTTTTTGTAGAATCTGCAAGAGGATATTTGGATAGCTTTGAGGATTTCTTGGGAAACGGGAATGTCTTCAGATAAACTCTAGACAGAAGCATACTCAGAAACTTCTTTGGGACGTTTCAATTGAAGTCACAGTGTTGAACATTCCCTTTCACAGAGCAGGTTTGAAACACTCTTTTTGTAGTGTCTATAAGTGAACATTTGGCGTGCTTTCAGGCCTAACGTGAAAAAGGAAATATCTTCCCATAAAAACTAGACAGAAGCATTCTCAGAAACTTGTTCATGATGTGTGCCCTCTACTGACAGAGTTGAACCTTTCTTTGCAAAGAGCAGCTTTGAAACACTCTTTTTGTAGAATCTGCAAGAGGATATTTGGATAGCTTGGAGGATTTCGTTGGAAACGGGTATGTCTTCAGATAAACTCTAGACAGAAGCATTCTCAGAAACTTCTTTGGGATGTTGCATTCAAGTCACAGAGTAGAACATTCCCATTCATAGAGCAGATTTGAAACACTCTTTTTGTAGTATCTGGAAGTGGACATTTGGAGCGCTTTCAGGCCTATGTTGAAAAAGGAAATATCTTCCCATAAAAACTAGACGGAAGCATTCTCAGAAACTTACTTGTGATGTGTTTGCTCAACTAACAGAATTGAACCATCGTTTTGAAGGAGCAGTTTTGAAACACTGTTTTCGTGGAATCTGCAAGTGGATATTTGGCTAGCTTTGAGGATTTCGTTGGAAACGGGATTACATATAAAAAGGAGACAGCAGCATTCTCAGAAACTTCTTTGTGATGTCTGCATTCAAGTCACAGAGTTGAGCATTCCCTTTCATAGAGCAGGTTGGAAACACTCTTTTTGTAGTATCTGGATGAGGACATTTGGAGCGCTTTCAGGCGTATGGTGAAAAAGGAAATATCTTCCCGTAAAAACTAGACAGAAGCATTCTCAGAAGTTTATTTGTGATGTGTGCCCTCAACTAACAGAGTTGAACCTTTCTTTTGATAGAGCAGTTTTGAAACACTCTTTTTGTAAAATCTGCAAGAGGATATTTGGATAGCTTTGAGGATTTCGTTGCAAACGGGAATGGCTTCATATAAACTCTAGACAGAAAGCATTCTCAGAAACTTCGTTGGGATGTTTCGATTGAAGTCCCAGTGTTGAACATTCCCTTTTATAGAGCAGGTTGGAAACACTCTTTCTGCATTCCCTGGAAGTGGACATTTGGAGCGCTTTCAGGACGACGGTGAAAATGGAAATATCTTCCAAGAAAATCTAGATAGAAGCAACGTCAGAAACTTTTATGTGATGGATCTACTCAGCTAACAGAGTTGAACCTTTCTTTTGAGAGAGCAGTTTTGCAACACACTTTTTGTGGAATATGCAAGTGGATATTAGGGCAGCTTTGAGGATTTCGTTGGAAACGGGAATACATGTAAAAAGCAGACAGCAGCATTCTCAGAAACTTCTTTGTGATGTTTGCATTGAAGTCACAGAGTTGAACATTCCCTTTGAGAGAGCAGGTTTGAAACACGCCTTTTGTCATATCTGGAAGTGTCCATTCGGAGCGCATTCAGGCTTGTGTTGAAAAAGGAAATATCCTCCCATAAAAACTAGACAGAAGCATTCTCAGAAACTTATCTGTGATGTATGTACTCAACTAACAGAACTAAACCATCGTTTTGAAGGAGCAGTTTTGAAACACTCTTTTTGCGGAATCTGCAAGTGGATATTTGGCTAGCTGGGAGGATTTCGTTGGAAACGGGATTACATACAAAAAGGAGACAGCAGCATTCTCAGAAACTTCTTTGTGATGTTTGCATTCAAGTCACAGAGTTGAACATTCCCTTTCATAGAGCAGGTTTGAAACACTCTTTTTGTAGTATCTGGATGTGGACATTTGGATCGCTTTCAGGCCTATGGTGAAAAAGGAAATATCTTCCCATGAAAACTAGACAGAAGCATTCTCAGAAACTTATTTGTGATGTGTGCCCTCAACTGACAGTGTTGAACCTTTGTTTTGATAGAGCAGTTCTGAAACACACTTTTTGTAAAATCTGCAAGAGGATATTTGGATAGCTTTGAGGATTTCGTTGGAAACGGGAATGTCTTCATGTAAACTCTACACAGAAGCATTCTCAGAAACTGCTTTGGGATGTTTCAATTGAAGTCCCAGTGTTGAACATTCCCATTCATAGAGCAGGTTTGAAACACTCTTTTTGTACTATCTGGAAGTGGACATTTGGAGCGCTTTCAGGTCTACGGTGAAAAAGGAGATATCTTCCAATAAAAACTAGATAGAAGCAATGTCAGAACTTTTTTCATGATGTATCTACTCAGCACACAGAGTTGAACCTTTCTTTTGAGAGAGCAGTTTTGAAACACTCTTTTTGTGGAATATGCAAGTGGGTATTAGGCCAGCTTGGAGGATTTCGTTGGAAACGGGAATATGTATAAAAAGCAGACAGCAGCATTGTCAGAAACTACTTTGTGATGTTTGCATTCAAGTCACAGAATTGAACACTCCCTTTCACAGAGCAGGTTTGAAACACTCTTTTTGTAGTGTCTGTAAGTGAACATATGGATTGCTTTCAGGCCTAAGGTGAAAAAGGAAATATCTTCCCATAAAAACTAGACAGAAGCATTCTCAGAAACTTGTTTGTGATGTGTGCCCTCTACTGACAGAGTTGAACCTTTCTTTGCAAAGAGCAGTTTTGAAACACTCTTTTTGTAGAATCTGCAAGAGGATATTTGGATAGCTTTGAGGATTTCTTGGGAAACGGAATGTCTTCAGATAAACTCTAGACAGAAGCATTCTCAGAAACTTCTTTGGGATATTTCAATTGAAGTCACAGTGTTGAACATTCCCTTTCACAGAGCAGGTTTGAAACACTCTTTTTGTAGTGTCTATAAGTGAACATTTGGCGTGCTTTCAGGCCTAACGTGAAAAAGGAAATATCTTCCCATAAAAACTAGACAGAAGCATTCTCAGAAACTTGTTCCTGATGTGTGCCCTCTACTGACAGAGTTGAACCTTTCTTTGCAAAGAGCAGCTTTGAAACACTCTTTTTGTAGAATCTGCAAGAGGATATTTGGATAGCTTTGAGGATTTCGTTGGAAACGGGTATGTCTTCAGATAAACTCTAGACAGAAGCATTCTCAGAAACTTCTTTGAGATGTTGCATTCAAGTCACAGAGTAGAACATTCCCATTCATAGAGCAGATTTGAAACACTCTTTTTGTAGTATCTGGAAGTGGACATTTGGAGCGCTTTCAGGCCTATGTTGAAAAAGGAAATATCTTCCCATAAAAACTAGACGGAAGCATTCTCAGAAACTTACTTGTGATGTGTTTGCTCAACTAACAGAATTGAACCATCGTTTTGAAGGAGCAGTTTTGAAACACTGTTTTCGTGGAATCTGCAAGTGGATATTTGGCTAGCTTTGAGGATTTCGTTGGAAACGGGATTACATATAAAAAGGAGACAGCAGCATTCTCAGAAACTTCTTTGTGATGTCTGCATTCAAGTCACAGAGTTGAGCATTCCCTTTCATAGAGCAGGTTGGAAACACTCTTTTTGTAGTATCTGGATGAGGACATTTGGAGCGCTTTCAGGCGTATGGTGAAAAAGGAAATATCTTCCCGTAAAAACTAGACAGAAGCATTCTCAGAAATTTATTTGTGATGTGTGCCCTCAACTAACAGAGTTGAACCTTTCTTTTGATAGAGCAGTTTTGAAACACTCTTTTTGTAAAATCTGCAAGAGGATATTTGGATAGCTTTGAGGATTTCGTTGCAAACGGGAATGGCTTCATATAAACTCTAGACAGAAGCATTCTCAGAAACTTCGTTGGGATGTTTCGATTGAAGTCCCAGTGTTGAACATTCCCTTTTATAGAGCAGGTTGGAAACACTCTTTTTGCATTCCCTGGAAGTGGACATTTGGAGCGCTTTCAGGACGACGGTGAAAATGGAAATATCTTCCAAGAAAATCTAGATAGAAGCAATGTCAGAAACTTTTCTGTGATGGATCTACTCAGCTAACAGAGTTGAAACTTTCTTTTGAGAGAGCAGTTTTGCAACACTCTTTTTGTGGAATATGCAAGTGGATATTAGGGCAGCTTTGAGGATTTCGTTGGAAACGGGAATACATGTAAAAAGCAGACAGCAGCATTCTCAGAAACTTCTTTGTGATGTTTGCATTGAAGTCACAGAGTTGAACATTCCCTTTGAGAGAGCAGGTTTGAAACACGCCTTTTGTCATATCTGGAAGTGTCCATTCGGAGCGCATTCAGGCTTGTGTTGAAAAAGGAAATATCCTCCCATAAAAACTAGACAGAAGCATTCTCAGAAACTTATCTGTGATGTATGTACTCAACTAACAGAACTAAACCATCGTTTTGAAGGAGCAGTTTTGAAACACTCTTTTTGCGGAATCTGCAAGTGGATATTTGGCTAGCTGGGAGGATTTCGTTGGAAACGGGATTACATACAAAAAGCAGACAGCAGCATTCTCAGAAACTTCTTTGTGATGTTTGCATTCAAGTCACAGAGTTGAACATTCCCTTTCATAGAGCAGGTTTGAAACACTCTTTTTGTAGTATCTGGATGTGGACATTTGGATCGCTTTCAGGCCTATGGTGAAAAAGGAAATATCTTCCCATGAAAACTAGACAGAAGCATTCTCAGAAACTTATTTGTGATGTGTGCCCTCAACTGACAGTGTTGAACCTTTGTTTTGATAGAGCAGTTCTGAAACACACTTTTTGTAAAATCTGCAAGAGGATATTTGGATAGCTTTGAGGATTTCGTTGGAAACGGGAATGTCTTCATGTAAACTCTAGACAGAAGCATTCTCAGAAACTGCTTTGGGATGTTTCAATTGAAGTCCCAGTGTTGAACATTCCCTTTCATAGAGCAGGTTTGAAACACTCTTTTTGTACTATCTGGAAGTGGACATTTGGAGCGCTTTCAGGTCTACGGTGAAAAAGGAGATATCTTCCAATAAAAACTAGATAGAAGCAATGTCAGAACTTTTTTCATGATGTATCTACTCAGCAAACAGAGTTGAACCTTTCTTTTGAGAGAGCAGTTTCGAAACACTCTTTCTGTGGAATATGCAAGTGGGTATTTGGCCAGCTTGGAGGATTTCGTTGGAAACGGGAATACGTATAAAAAGCAGACAGCAGCATTGTCAGAAACTACTTTGTGATGTTTGCATTCAAGTCACAGAATTGAACACTCCCTTTCACAGAGCAGGTTTGAAACACTCTTTTTGTAGTGTCTGTAAGTGAACATATGGATTGCTTTCAGGCCTAAGGTGAAAAAGGAAATATCTTCCCATAAAAACTAGACAGAAGCATTCTCAGAAACTTGTTTGTGATGTGTGCCCTCTACTGACAGAGTTGAACCTTTCTTTGCAAAGAGCAGTTTTGAAACACTCTTTTTGTAGAATCTGCAAGAGGATATTTGGATAGCTTTGAGGATTTCTTGGGAAACGGGAATGTCTTCAGATAAACTCTAGACAGAAGCATTCTCAGAAACTTCTTTGGGATGTTTCAATTGAAGTCACAGTGTTGAACATTCCCTTTCACAGAGCAGGTTTGAAACACTCTTTTTGTAGTGTCTATAAGTGAACATTTGGCGTGCTTTCAGGCCTAACGTGAAAAAGGAAATATCTTCCCATAAAAACTAGACAGAAGCATTCTCAGAAACTTGTTCTTGATGTGTCCCCTCTACTGACAGAGTTGAACCTTTCTTTGCAAAGAGCAGCTTTGAAACGCTCTTTTTGTAGAATCTGCAAGAGGATATTTGGATAGCTTGGAGGATTTCGTTGGAAACGGGTATGTCTTCAGATAAACTCTAGACAGAAGCATTCTCAGAAACTTCTTTGGGATGTTGCATTCAAGTCACAGAGTAGAACATTCCCATTCATAGAGCAGATTTGAAACACTCTTTTTGTAGTATCTGGAAGTGGACATTTGGAGCGCTTTCAGGCCTATGTTGAAAAAGGAAATATCTTCCCATAAAAACTAGACGGAAGCATTCTCAGAAACTTACTTGTGATGTGTTTGCTCAACTAACAGAATTGAACCATCGTTTTGAAGGAGCAGTTTTGAAACACTGTTTTCGTGGAATCTGCAAGTGGATATTTGGCTAGCTTTGAGGATTTCGTTGGAAACGGGATTACATATAAAAAGGAGACAGCAGCATTCTCAGAAACTTCTTTGTGATGTCTGCATTCAATTCACAGAGTTGAGCATTCCCTTTCATAGAGCCGGTTGGAAACACTCTTTTTGTAGTATCTGGATGAGGACATTTGGAGCGCTTTCAGGCGTATGGTGAAAAAGGAAATATCTTCCCGTAAAAACTAGACAGAAGCATTCTCAGAAATTTATTTGTGATGTGTGCCCTCAACTAACAGAGTTGAACCTTTCTTTTGATAGAGCAGTTTTGAAACACTCTTTTTGTAAAATCTGCAAGAGGATATTTGGATAGCTTTGAGGATTTCGTTGCAAACGGGAATGGCTTCATATAAACTCTAGACAGAAGCATTCTCAGAAACTTCGTTGGGATGTTTCGATTGAAGTCCCAGTGTTGAACATTCCCTTTTATAGAGCAGGTTGGAAACACTCTTTCTGCATTCCCTGGAAGTGGACATTTGGAGCGCTTTCAGGACGACGGTGAAAATGGAAATATCTTCCAAGAAAATCTAGATAGAAGCAATGTCAGAAACTTTTATGTGATGGATCTACTCAGCTAACAGAGTTGAACCTTTCTTTTGAGAGAGCAGTTTTGCAACACTCTTTTTGTGGAATATGCAAGTGGATATTAGGGCAGCTTTGAGGATTTCGTTGGAAACGGGAATACATGTAAAAAGCAGACAGCAGCATTCTCAGAAACTTCTTTGTGATGTTTGCATTGAAGTCACAGAGTTGAACATTCCCTTTGAGAGAGCAGGTTTGAAACACGCCTTTTGTCATATCTGGAAGTGTCCATTCGGAGCGCATTCAGGCTTGTGTTGAAAAAGGAAATATCCTCCCATAAAAACTAGACAGAAGCATTCTCAGAAACTTATCTGTGATGTATGTACTCAACTAACAGAACTAAACCATCGTTTTGAAGGAGCAGTTTTGAAACACTCTTTTTGCGGAATCTGCAAGTGGATATTTGGCTAGCTGGGAGGATTTCGTTGGAAACGGGATTACATACAAAAAGCAGACAGCAGCATTCTCAGAAACTTCTTTGTGATGTTTGCATTCAAGTCACAGAGTTGAACATTCCCTTTCATAGAGCAGGTTTGAAACACTCTTTTTGTAGTATCTGGATGTGGACATTTGGATCGCTTTCAGGCCTATGGTGAAAAAGGAAATATCTTCCCATGAAAACTAGACAGAAGCATTCTCAGAAACTTATTTGCGATGTGTGCCCTCAACTGACAGTGTTGAACCTTTGTTTTGATAGAGCAGTTCTGAAACACACTTTTTGTAAAATCTGCAAGAGGATATTTGGATAGCTTTGAGGATTTCGTTGGAAACGGGAATGTCTTCATGTAAACTCTGGACAGAAGCATTCTCAGAAACTGCTTTGGGATGTTTCAATTGAAGTCCCAGTGTTGAACATTCCCATTCATAGAGCAGGTTTGAAACACTCTTTTTGTACTATCTGGAAGTGGACATTTGGAGCGCTTTCAGGTCTACGGTGAAAAAGGAGATATCTTCCAATAAAAACTAGATAGAAGCAATGTCAGAACTTTTTTCATGATGTATCTACTCAGCAAACAGAGTTGAACCTTTCTTTTGAGAGAGCAGTTTTGAAACACTCTTTTTGTGGAATATGCAAGTGGGTATTAGGCCACCTTGGAGGATTTCGTTGGAAACGGGAATACGTATAAAAAGCAGACAGCAGCATTGTCAGAAACTACTTTGTGATGTTTGCATTCAAGTCACAGAATTGAACACTCCCTTTCACAGAGCAGGTTTGAAACACTCTTTTTGTAGTGTCTGTAAGTGAACATTTGGATTGCTTTCAGGCCTAAGGTGAAAAAGGAAATATCTTCCCATAAAAACTAGACAGAAGCATTCTCAGAAACTTGTTTGTGATGTGTGCCCTCTACTGACAGAGTTGAACCTTTCTTTGCAAAGAGCAGTTTTGAAACACTCTTTTTGTAGAATCTGCAAGAGGATATTTGGATAGCTTTGAGGATTTCTTGGGAAACGGGAATGTCTTCAGATAAACTCTAGACAGAAGCATACTCAGAAACTTCTTTGGGACGTTTCAATTGAAGTCACAGTGTTGAACATTCCCTTTCACAGAGCAGGTTTGAAACACTCTTTTTGTAGTGTCTATAAGTGAACATTTGGCGTGCTTTCAGGCCTAACGTGAAAAAGGAAATATCTTCCCATAAAAACTAGACAGAAGCATTCTCAGAAACTTGTTCATGATGTGTGCCCTCTACTGACAGAGTTGAACCTTTCTTTGCAAAGAGCATCTTTGAAACACTCCTTTTGTAGAATCTGCAAGAGGATATTTGGATAGCTTTGAGGATTTCGTTGGAAACGGGTATGTCTTCAGATAAACTCTAGACAGAAGCATTCTCAGAAACTTCTTTGGGATGTTGCATTCAAGTCACAGAGTAGAACATTCCCATTCATAGAGCAGATTTGAAACACTCTTTTTGTAGTATCTGGAAGTGGACATTTGGAGCGCTTTCAGGCCTATGTTGAAAAAGGAAATATCTTCCCATAAAAACTAGACGGAAGCATTCTCAGAAACTTACTTGTGATGTGTTTGCTCAACTAACAGAATTGAACCATCGTTTTGAAGGAGCAGTTTTGAAACACTGTTTTCGTGGAATCTGCAAGTGGATATTTGGCTAGCTTTGAGGATTTCGTTGGAAACGGGATTACATATACAAAGGAGACAGCAGCATTCTCAGAAACTTCTTTGTGATGTCTGCATTCAAGTCACAGAGTTGAGCGTTCCCTTTCATAGAGCAGGTTGGAAACACTCTTTTTGTAGTATCTGGATGAGGACATTTGGAGCGCTTCCAGGCGTATGGTGAAAAAGGAAATATCTTCCGTAAAAACTAGACAGAAGCATTCTCAGAAATTTATATGTGATGTGTGCCCTCAACTAACAGAGTTGAACCTTTCTTTTGATAGAACAGTTTTGAAACACTCTTTTTGTAAAATCTGCAAGAGGATATTTGGATAGCTTTGAGGATTTCGTTCCAAACGGGAATGGCTTCATATAAACTCTAGACAGAAGCATTCTCAGAAACTTCGTTGGGATGTTTCGATTGAAGTCCCAGTGTTGAACATTCCCTTTTATAGAGCAGGTTGGAAACACTCTTTCTGCATTCCCTGGAAGTGGACATTTGGAGCGCTTTCAGGACGACGGTGAAAATGGAAATATCTTCCAAGAAAATCTAGGTAGAAGCAACGTCAGAAACTTTTCTGTGATGGATCTACTCAGCTAACAGAGTTGAACCTTTCTTTTGAGAGAGCAGTTTTGCAACACTCTTTTTGTGGAATATGCAAGTGGATATTAGGGCAGCTTTGAGGATTTCGTTGGAAACGGGAATACATGTAAAAAGCAGACAGCAGCATTCTCAGAAACTTCTTTGTGATGTTTGCATTGAAGTCACAGAGTTGAACATTCCCTTTGAGAGAGCAGGTTTGAAACACGCCTTTTGTCATATCTGGAAGTGTCCATTCGGAGCGCATTCAGGCTTGTGTTGAAAAAGGAAATATCCTCCCATAAAAACTAGACAGAAGCATTCTCAGAAACTTATCTGTGATGTATGTACTCAACTAACAGAACTAAACCATCGTTTTGAAGGAGCAGTTTTGAAACACTCTTTTTGCGGAATCTGCAAGTGGATATTTGGCTAGCTGGGAGGATTTCGTTGGAAACGGGATTACATACAAAAAGCAGACAGCAGCATTCTCAGAAACTTCTTTGTGATGTTTGCATTCAAGTCACAGAGTTGAACATTCCCTTTCATAGAGCAGGTTTGAAACACTCTTTTTGTAGTATCTGGATGTGGACATTTGGATCGCTTTCAGGCCTATGGTGAAAAAGGAAATATCTTCCCATGAAAACTAGACAGAAGCATTCTCAGAAACTTATTTGTGATGTGTGCCCTCAACTGACAGTGTTGAACCTTTGTTTTGATAGAGCAGTTCTGAAACACACTTTTTGTAAAATCTGCAAGAGGATATTTGGATAGCTTTGAGGATTTCGTTGGAAACGGGAATGTCTTCATGTAAACTCTACACAGAAGCATTCTCAGAAACTGCTTTGGGATGTTTCAATTGAAGTCCCAGTGTTGAACATTCCCATTCATAGAGCAGGTTTGAAACACTCTTTTTGTACTATCTGGAAGTGGACATTTGGAGCGCTTTCAGGTCTACGGTGAAAAAGGAGATATCTTCCAATAAAAACTAGATAGAAGCAATGTCAGAACTTTTTTCATGATGTATCTACTCAGCACACAGAGTTGAACCTTTCTTTTGAGAGAGCAGTTTTGAAACACTCTTTTTGTGGAATATGCAAGTGGGTATTAGGCCAGCTTGGAGGATTTCGTTGGAAACGGGAATACGTATAAAAAGCAGACAGCAGCATTGTCAGAAACTACTTTGTGATGTTTGCATTCAAGTCACAGAATTGAACACTCCCTTTCACAGAGCAGGTTTGAAACACTCTTTTTGTAGTGTCTGTAAGTGAACATATGGATTGCTTTCAGGCCTAAGGTGAAAAAGGAAATATCTTCCCATAAAAACTAGACAGAAGCATTCTCAGAAACTTGTTTGTGATGTGTGCCCTCTACTGACAGAGTTGAACCTTTCTTTGCAAAGAGCAGTTTTGAAACACTCTTTTTGTAGAATCTGCAAGAGGATATTTGGATAGCTTTGAAGATTTCTTGGGAAACGGGAATGTCTTCAGATAAACTCTAGACAGAAGCATTCTCAGAAACTTCTTTGGGATGTTTCAATTGAAGTCACAGTGTTGAACATTCCCTTTCACAGAGCAGGTTTGAAACACTCTTTTTGTAGTGTCTATAAGTGAACATTTGGCGTGCTTTCAGGCCTAACGTGAAAAAGGAAATATCTTCCCATAAAAACTAGACAGAAGCATTCTCAGAAACTTGTTCATGATGTGTGCCCTCTACTGACAGAGTTGAACCTTTCTTTGCAAAGAGCAGCTTTGAAACACTCTTTTTGTAGAATCTGCAAGAGGATATTTGGATAGCTTGGAGGATTTCGTTGGAAACGGGTATGTCTTCAGATAAACTCTAGACAGAAGCATTCTCAGAAACTTCTTTGGGATGTTGCATTCAAGTCACAGAGTAGAACATTCCCATTCATAGAGCAGATTTGAAACACTCTTTTTGTAGTATCTGGAAGTGGACATTTGGAGCGCTTTCAGGCCTATGTTGAAAAAGGAAATATCTTCCCATAAAAACTAGACGGAAGCATTCTCAGAAACTTATTTGTGATGTGTTTGCTCAACTAACAGGATTGAACCATCGTTTTGAAGGAGCAGTTTTGAAACACTGTTTTCGTGGAATCTGCAAGTGGATATTTGGCTAGCTTTGAGGATTTCGTTGGAAACGGGATTACATATACAAAGGAGACAGCAGCATTCTCAGAAACTTCTTTGTGATGTCTGCATTCAATTCACAGAGTTGAGCATTCCCTTTCCTAGAGCACGTTGGAAACACTCTTTTTGTAGTATCTGGATGAGGACATTTGGAGCGCTTTCAGGCGTATGGTGAAAAAGGAAATATCTTCCCGTAAAAACTAGACAGAAGCATTCTCAGAAGTTTATTTGTGATGTGTGCCCTCAACTAACAGAGTTGAACCTTTCTTTTGATAGAGCAGTTTTGAAACACTCTTTTTGTAAAATCTGCAAGAGGATATTTGGATAGCTTTGAGGATTTCGTTGCAAACGGGAATGGCTTCATATAAACTCTAGACAGAAGCATTCTCAGAAACTTCGTTGGGATGTTTCGATTGAAGTCCCAGTGTTGAACATTCCCTTTTATAGAGCAGGTTGGAAACACTCTTTCTGCATTCCCTGGAAGTGGACATTTGGAGCGCTTTCAGGACGACGGTGAAAATGGAAATATCTTCCAAGAAAATCTAGATAGAAGCAACGTCAGAAACTTTTCTGTGATGGATCTACTCAGCTAACAGAGTTGAACCTTTCTTTTGAGAGAGCAGTTTTGCAACACTCTTTTTGTGGAATATGCAAGTGGATATTAGGGCAGCTTTGAGGATTTCGTTGGAAACGGGAATACATGTAAAAAGCAGACAGCAGCATTCTCAGAAACTTCTTTGTGATATTTGCATTGAAGTCACAGAGTTGAACATTCCCTTTGAGAGAGCAGGTTTGAAACACGCCTTTTGTCATATCTGGAAGTGTCCATTCGGAGCGCATTCAGGCTTGTGTTGAAAAAGGAAATATCCTCCCATAAAAACTAGACAGAAGCATTCTCAGAAACTTATCTGTGATGTATGTACTCAACTAACAGAACTAAACCATCGTTTTGAAGGAGCAGTTTTGAAACACTCTTTTTGCGGAATCTGCAAGTGGATATTTGGCTAGCTGGGAGGATTTCGTTGGAAACGGGATTACATACAAAAAGCAGAGAGCAGCATTCTCAGAAACTTCTTTGTGATGTTTGCATTCAAGTCACAGAGTTGAACATTCCCTTTCATAGAGCAGGTTTGAAACACTCTTTTTGTAGTATCTGGATGTGGACATTTGGATCGCTTTCAGGCCTATGGTGAAAAAGGAAATATCTTCCCATGAAAACTAGACAGA